>NC_000008.11:45864352-45877265 GCF_000001405.40 Homo sapiens | reverse complement strand
TCTGTCTAGTTTTTGTCGGAAGATATTTCCTTTTTCAGCATAGGCCCCAAGGAGCTCAAAATGTCCACTGCCAGATAGTACGAGAAGATTGTTTCAAACCTGCTCTGTGAAAGGGAATGTTCAACTCTGTGACTTGAATGTAAACATCCCTAAGATGTTTCTTAGAATGCTTCTGGCTAGATTTTATTTGAAGATATTCCCGTTTCCAACGAAATCCTCAAAGCTTTCCAAATATCCACTTCCAGATTCTATAAAAAGAATGTTTCAGAACAGTTCTGTCAAAAGAAAGGTTCAACTCTGTTAGTGGAGAACACACATCACAATCAAGGTTCTGAGAATGCTTCTGTCTAAATTTTCTATGAAGACATTCCCGTTTCCAACGAAATCCTCACAGCTATCCAAATATCCACTTGCAGATTCTACAAAAAGTGTGGTTCAAAACTGCTGTATCAAAAGAATGGATCAACACTGTTAGTTGAGTACCCACATCACAAACGTGATTCTCAGAATGCTTCTGTCTAGTTTCTGTAGGTAGATATTTCCTATTTTAAGCATAGGCCTGAAAGCGCTCCAAATGCCCGCTTCCAGACACTATAAAAAGAGGGTTTCAAACCTACTCTATGAAAGGGAATGTTCAACTCTGAGAGCTGGATGCAAACATCACAAAGAAGTTTCTGAGAATGCTGCTGTCTACTTTTGATATATAATCCCGTTTCCAACGAAATCCTCAAATCTATCCAAATATCCACTTGCAGATTCCAAAAGAAGAGTGTCTCAAAACTGCTCTATCAATAGAAATGTTCAGCACAGTTAGTTGAGTAGATACAGCATAAACATGTTTCTGAGATTACTTCTATCTCGCATTCATGGGAAGATATTTCCTTTTTCCAGATAGGCTACAAAGCCCTCCAAATGTCCACTTCCAGATACTACAAATAGAGTGCTGCACAACTGCTCTATGTGAGGGGAAGTTCAATTCTGTGACTTGAATGCAGACACCACAAAGAAGTTTCTGAGAATGCTGCTGTCTAATTTTTACATGTAAGCCCGTTTCCAACGAAATCCTCAAAGCTATCCAAATATCCGCATGCAGAATCTTCAAAAAGAGTGTTCCAGAAGTACTGCATGAAACGAAAGGTTCAAGTCCGTTTGTTGAGGACACACATCACAAATAAGTTTCTCAGAATGCTTCTGTCTTGTTTTCATTGGAAGATATTTCCTTTTTCACCATAGTTCAGAAAGCGCTCCAAATGTCCACTTCCAGATACTCCAAAAAGAGTGTTTCCAACCTGCTCTATGAATGGGAATGTTCCACTCTGTGACTTGAATGGAAATATGGCAAAGTATTTTCTGAGTATGCTGCTGTGTACGTTTTATATTGCATCCCGTTTCCAACGAAATCCTCAAAGCGATCCAAATATCCACTTGCAGATTCCAAAAAAAGAGTGTTTCAAAGTGCTCTGTCAGTACAAAGGTTCAACACTGTTAGTTGATTAGATGCATCATAAACAAGTTCCTGAGATAGCTTCTATGTCGTTTTTATGGGAAGATATTTCCTTTTTCACCATAGGCCTGAAAGCGCTCCAAATGTCCACTTCCAGATACTACAATAAGAGTGTTTCCAACCTGCTCTATGAAACGGAAGGTTCAACTGCTGTGACTTGATTGCAAACATCACGAAGGTGTTTCTGAGAATGCTTCTGTCTAGATTTTCTTTGAAGACATTACCGTTTCCAACGAAATCCTCAAAGCTAGCCAAATATCCACCTGCAGATTCTACAAAAAGAGTGTTTCAAAAGTGCTCTGTCCAAACCAAGGTTCAATTCTGACAGTTGAGTGCACACATCACAAACGTGATTCTGCGAATGCTTCTGTCTAGTTTTTGTCGGAAGATATTTCCTTTTTCAGCATAGGCCCCAAGGAGCTCAAAATGTCCACTGCCAGATAGTACGAGAAGATTGTTTCAAACCTGCTCTGTGAAAGGGAATGTTCAACTCTGTGACTTGAATGTAAACATCCCTAAGATGTTTCTTAGAATGCTTCTGGCTAGATTTTATTTGAAGATATTCCCGTTTCCAACGAAATCCTCAAAGCTTTCCAAATATCCACTTCCAGATTCTATAAAAAGAATGTTTCAGAACAGTTCTGTCAAAAGAAAGGTTCAACTCTGTTAGTGGAGAACACACATCACAATCAAGGTTCTGAGAATGCTTCTGTCTAAATTTTCTATGAAGACATTCCCGTTTCCAACGAAATCCTCACAGCTATCCAAATATCCACTTGCAGATTCTACAAAAAGTGTGGTTCAAAACTGCTGTATCAAAAGAATGGATCAACACTGTTAGTTGAGTACCCACATCACAAACGTGATTCTCAGAATGCTTCTGTCTAGTTTCTATAGGTAGATATTTCCTTTTTCAGCATAGGCCTGAAAGCGCTCCAAATGCCCGCTTCCAGACACTATAAAAAGAGGGTTTCAAACCTACTCTATGAAAGGGAATGTTCAACTCTGAGAGCTGGATGCAAACATCACAAAGAAGTTTCTGAGAATGCTGCTGTCTACTTTTTATATATAATCCCGTTTCCAACGAAATCCTCAAATCTATCCAAATATCCACTTGCAGATTCCAAAAGAAGAGTGTCTCAAAACTGCTCTATCAATAGAAATGTTCAGCACAGTTAGTTGAGTAGATACAGCATAAACATGTTTCTGAGATTACTTCTATCTCGCATTCATGGGAAGATATTTCCTTTTTCCAGATAGGCTACAAAGCCCTCCAAATGTCCACTTCCAGATACTACAAATAGAGTGCTGCACAACTGCTCTATGTGAGGGGAAGTTCAATTCTGTGACTTGAATGCAGACACCACAAAGAAGTTTCTGAGAATGCTGCTGTCTAATTTTTACATGTAAGGCCGTTTCCAACGAAATCCTCAAAGCTATCCAAATATCCGCATGCAGAATCTTCAAAAAGAGTGTTCCAGAAGTACTGCATGAAACGAAAGGTTCAAGTCCGTTTGTTGAGGACACACATCACAAATAAGTTTCTCAGAATGCTTCTGTCTTGTTTTCATTGGAAGATATTTCCTTTTTCACCATAGTTCAGAAAGCGCTCCAAATGTCCACTTCCAGATACTACAAAAAGAGTGTGTCAAACCTGCTCTATGAATGGGAATGTTCCACTCTGTGACTTGAATGGAAATATGGCAAAGTATTTTCTGAGTATGCTGCTGTGTACGTTTTATATTGCATCCCGTTTCCAACGAAATCCTCAAAGCGATCCAAATATCCACTTGCAGATTCCAAAAAAAGAGTGTTTCAAACTGCTCTGTCAGTACAAAAGTTCAACACTGTTAGTTGATTAGATGCATCATAAACAAGTTCCTGAGATAGCTTCTATGTCGTTTTTATGGGAAGATATTTCCTTTTTCACCATAGGCCTGAAAGCGCTCCAAATGTCCACTTCCAGATACTACAATAAGAGTGTTTCCAACCTGCTCTATGAAACGGAAGGTTCAACTCTGTGACTTGATTGCAAACATCACGAAGGTGTTTCTGAGAATGCTTCTGTCTAGATTTTCTTTGAAGACATTACCGTTTCCAACGAAATCCTCAAAGCTAGCCAAATATCCACCTGCAGATCCTTCAAAAAGTGTGTTTCAAAAGTGCTCTGTCCAAACCAAGGTTCAATGCTGACAGTTGAGTGCACACATCACAAACGTGATTCTGCGAATGCTTCTGTCTAGTTTTTGTCGGAAGCTATTTCCTTTCTCAGCATAGGCCCCAAGGAGCTCAAAATGTCCACTTCCAGATAGTACGAGAAGATTGTTTCAAACCTGCGCTGTGAAAGGGAATGTTCAACTCTGTGACTTGAATGTAAACATCCCTAAGATGTTTCTTAGAATGCTTCTGGCTAGATTTGATTTGAAGATATTCCCGTTTCCAACGAAATCCTCAAAGCTTTCCAAATATCCACTTCCAGATTCTATAAAAAGAATGTTTCAAAACAGTTCTGTCAAAAGAAAGGTTCAACCCTGTTATTGGACAACACACATCACAATCAAGGTTCTGAGAATGCTTCTGTCTAAATTTTCTATGAAGACATTCCCGTTTCCAAGGAAATCCTCACAGCTATCCAAATATCCACTTGCAGATTCTACAAAAAGTGTGGTTCATAACTGCTGTATCAAAAGAATGGATCAACACTGTTAGTTGAGTACCCACATCACAAACGTGATTCTCAGAATGCTTCTGTCTAGTTTCTATAGGTAGATATTTCCTTTTTCAGCATAGGCCTGAAAGCGCTCCAAATGCCCGCTTCCAGACACTATAAAAAGAGGGTTTCAAACCTACTCTATGAAAGGGAATGTTCAACTCTGAGAGCTGGATGCAAACATCACAAAGAAGTTTCTGAGAATGCTGCTGTCTACTTTTGATATATAATCCCGTTTCCAACGAAATCCTCAAATCTATCCAAATATCCACTTGCAGATTCCAAAAGAAGAGTGTCTCAAAACTGCTCTATCAATAGAAATGTTCAGCACAGTTAGTTGAGTAGATACAGCATAAACATGTTTCTGAGATTACTTCTATCTCGCATTCATGGGAAGATATTTCCTTTTTCCAGATAGGCTACAAAGCCCTCCAAATGTCCACTTCGAGATACTACAAATAGAGTGCTGCACAACTGCTCTATGTGAGGGGATGTTCAATTCTGTGACTTGAATGCAGACACCACAAAGAAGTTTCTGAGAATGCTGCTGTCTAATTTTTACATGTAAGACCGTTTCCAACGAAATCCTCAAAGCTATCCAAATATCCGCATGCAGAATCTTCAAAAAGAGTGTTCCAGAAGTACTGCATGAAACGAAAGGTTCAAGTCCGTTTGTTGAGGACACACATCACAAATAAGTTTCTCAGAATGCTTCTGTCTTGTTTTCATTGGAAGATATTTCCTTTTTCACCATAGTTCAGAAAGCGCTCCAAATGTCCACTTCCAGATACTACAAAAAGAGTGTGTCAAACCTGCTCTATGAATGGGAATGTTCCACTCTGTGACTTGAATGGAAATATGGCAAAGTATTTTCTGAGTATGCTGCTGTGTACGTTTTATATTGCATCCCGTTTCCAACGAAATCCTCAAAGCGATCCAAATATCCACTTGCAGATTCCAAAAAAAGAGTGTTTCAAACTGCTCTGTCAGTACAAAGGTTCAACACTGTTAGTTGATTAGATGCATCATAAACAAGTTCCTGAGATAGCTTCTATCTCGCATTCATGGGAAGATATTTCCTTTTTCCACATAGGCTACAAAGCCCTCCAAATGTCCACTTCCAGATACTACAAAAAGAGTGTTTCCAACCTGCTCTATGAAACGGAAGGTTCAACTCTGTGACTTGATTGCAAACATCACGAAGGTGTTTCTGAGAATGCTTCTGTCTAGATTTTCTTTGAAGACATTACCGTTTCCAATGAAATCCTCAGAGCTAGCCAAATATCCACCTGCAGATACTACAAAAAGAGTGTTTCAAAAGTGCTCTGTCCAAACCAAGGTTCAATTCTGACAGTTGAGTGCACACATCACAAACGTGATTCTGCGAATGCTTCTGTCTAGTTTTTGTCGGAAGATATTTCCTTTTTCAGCATAGGCCCCAAGGAGCTCAAAATGTCCACTGCCAGATAGTACGAGAAGATTGTTTCAAACCTGCTCTGTGAAAGGGAATGTTCAACTCTGTGACTTGAATGTAAACATCCCTAAGATGTTTCTTAGAATGCTTCTGGCTAGATTTTATTTGAAGATATTCCCGTTTCCAACGAAATCCTCAAAGCTTTCCAAATATCCACTTCCAGATTCTATAAAAAGAATGTTTCAGAACAGTTCTGTCAAAAGAAAGGTTCAACTCTGTTAGTGGAGAACACACATCACAATCAAGGTTCTGAGAATGCTTCTGTCTAAATTTTCTATGAAGACATTCCCGTTTCCAACGAAATCCTCACAGCTATCCAAATATCCACTTGCAGATTCTACAAAAAGGGTGGTTCAAAACTGCTGTATCAAAAGAATGGATCAACACTGTTAGTTGAGTACCCACATCACAAACGTGATTCTCAGAATGCTTCTGTCTAGTTTCTGTAGGTAGATAATTCCTTTTTCAGCATAGGCCTGAAAGCGCTCCAAATGCCCGCTTCCAGACAGTATAAAAAGGGGGTTTCAAACCTACTCTATGAAAGGGAATGTTCAACTCTGAGAGCTGGATGCAAACATCACAAAGAAGTTTCTGAGAATGCTGCTGTCTACTTTTTATATATAATCCCTTTTCCAACGAAATCCTCAAATCTATCCAAATATCCACTTGCAGATTCCTAAAGAAGAGTGTCTCAAAACTGCTCTATCAATAGAAATGTTCAGCACAGTTAGTTGAGTAGATACAGCATAAACATGTTTCTGAGATTACTTCTATCTCGCATTCATGGGAAGATATTTCCTTTTTCCAGATAGGCTACAAAGCCCTCCAAATGTCCACTTCCAGATACTACAAATAGAGTGCTGCACAACTGCTCTATGTGAGGGGAAGTTCAATTCTGTGACTTGAATGCAGACACCACAAAGAAGTTTCTGAGAATGCTGCTGTCTAATTTTTACATGTAAGCCCGTTTCCAACGAAATCCTCAAAGCTATCCAAATATCCGCATGCAGAATCTTCAAAAAGAGTGTTCCAGAAGTACTGCATGAAACGAAAGGTTCAAGTCCGTTTGTTGAGGACACACATCACAAATAAGTTTCTCAGAATGCTTCTGTCTTGTTTTCATTGGAAGATATTTCCTTTTTCACCATAGTTCAGAAAGCGCTCCAAATGTCCACTTCCAGATACTCCAAAAAGAGTGTTTCCAACCTGCTCTATGAATGGGAATGTTCCACTCTGTGACTTGAATGGAAATATGGCAAAGTATTTTCTGAGTATGCTGCTGTGTACGTTTTATATTGCATCCCGTTTCCAACGAAATCCTCAAAGCGATCCAAATATCCACTTGCAGATTCCAAAAAAAGAGTGTTTCAAACTGCTCTGTCAGTACAAAGGTTCAACACTGTTAGTTGATTAGATGCATCATAAACAAGTTCCTGAGATAGCTTCTATGTCGTTTTTATGGGAAGATATTTCCTTTTTCACCATAGGCCTGAAAGCGCTCCAAATGTCCACTTCCAGATACTACAATAAGAGTGTTTCCAACCTGCTCTATGAAACGGAAGGTTCAACTCTGTGACTTGATTGCAAACATCACGAAGGTGTTTCTGAGAATGCTTCTGTCTAGATTTTCTTTGAAGACATTACCGTTTCCAACGAAATCCTCAAAGCTAGCCAAATATCCACCTGCAGATTCTACAAAAAGAGTGTTTCAAAAGTGCTCTGTCCAAACCAAGGTTCAATTCTGACAGTTGAGTGCACACATCACAAACGTGATTCTGCGAATGCTTCTGTCTAGTTTTTGTCGGAAGATATTTCCTTTTTCAGCATAGGCCCCAAGGAGCTCAAAATGTCCACTGCCAGATAGTACGAGAAGATTGTTTCAAACCTGCTCTGTGAAAGGGAATGTTCAACTCTGTGACTTGAATGTAAACATCCCTAAGATGTTTCTTAGAATGCTTCTGGCTAGATTTTATTTGAAGATATTCCCGTTTCCAACGAAATCCTCAAAGCTTTCCAAATATCCACTTCCAGATTCTATAAAAAGAATGTTTCAGAACAGTTGTGTCTAAAGAAAGGTTCAACTCTGTTAGTGGAGAACACACATCACAATCAAGGTTCTGAGAATGCTTCTGTCTAGATTTTCTTTGAAGACATTCCCGTTTCCAACGAAATCCTCACAGCTATCCATATATCCTCTTGCAGATTCTACAAAAAGTGTGGTTCAAAACTGCTGTATCAAAAGAATGGATCAACACTGTTAGTTGAGTACCCACATCACAAACGTGATTCTCAGAATGCTTCTGTCTAGTTTCTGTAGGTAGATATTTCCTATTTTAAGCATAGGCCTGAAAGCGCTCCAAATGCCCGCTTCCAGACACTATAAAAAGAGGGTTTCAAACCTACTCTATGAAAGGGAATGTTCAACTCTGAGAGCTGGATGCAAACATCACAAAGAAGTTTCTGAGAATGCTGCTGTCTACTTTTTATATATAATCCCGTTTCCAACGAAATCCTCAAATCTCTCCAAATATCCACTTGCAGATTCCAAAAGAAGAGTGTCTCAAAACTGCTCTATCAATAGAAATGTTCAGCACAGTTAGTTGAGTAGATACAGCATAAACATGTTTCTGAGATTACTTCTATCTCGCATTCATGGGAAGATATTTCCTTTTTCCAGATAGGCTACAAAGCCCTCCAAATGTCCACTTCCAGATACTACAAATAGAGTGCTGCACAACTGCTCTATGTGAGGGGAAGTTCAATTCTGTGACTTGAATGCAGACACCACAAAGAAGTTTCTGAGAATGCTGCTGTCTAATTTTTACATGTAAGCCCGTTTCCAACGAAATCCTCAAAGCTATCCAAATATCCGCATGCAGAATCTTCAAAAAGAGTGTTCCAGAAGTACTGCATGAAACGAAAGGTTCAAGTCCGTTTGTTGAGGACACACATCACAAATAAGTTTCTCAGAATGCTTCTGTCTTGTTTTCATTGGAAGATATTTCCTTTTTCACCATAGTTCAGAAAGCGCTCCAAATGTCCACTTCCAGATACTCCAAAAAGAGTGTTTCAAACCTGCTCTATGAATGGGAATGTTCCACTCTGTGACTTGAATGGAAATATGGCAAAGTATTTTCTGAGTATGCTGCTGTGTACGTTTTATATTGCATCCCGTTTCCAACGAAATCCTCAAAGCGATCCAAATATCCACTTGCAGATTCCAAAAAAAGAGTGTTTCAAACTGCTCTGTCAGTACAAAGGTTCAACACTGTTAGTTGATTAGATGCATCATAAACAAGTTCCTGAGATAGCTTCTATCTCGCATTCATGGGAAGATATTTCCTTTTTCCAGATAGGCTACAAAGCCCTCCAAATGTCCACTTCCAGATACTACAAAAAGAGTGTTTCCAACCTGCTCTATGAAACGGAAGGTTCAACTCTGTGACTTGATTGCAAACATCACGAAGGTGTTTCTGAGAATGCTTCTGTCTAGATTTTCTTTGAAGACATTACCGTTTCCAACGAAATCCTCAAAGCTAGCCAAATATCCACCTGCAGATTCTACAAAAAGAGTGTTTCAAAAGTGCTCTGTCCAAACCAAGGTTCAATTCTGACAGTTGAGTGCACACATCACAAACGTGATTCTGCGAATGCTTCTGTCTAGTTTTTGTCGGAAGATATTTCCTTTTTCAGCATAGGCCCCAAGGAGCTCAAAATGTCCACTTCCAGATACTACGAGAAGATTGTTTCAAACCTGCTCTGTGAAAGGGAATGTTCAACTCTGTGACTTGAATGTAAACATCCCTAAGATGTTTCTTAGAATGCTTCTGGCTAGATTTTATTTGAAGATATTCCCGTTTCCAACGAAATCCTCAAAGCTTTCCAAATATCCACTTCCAGATTCTATAAAAAGAATGTTTCAGAACAGTTCTGTCAAAAGAAAGGTTCAACTCTGTTAGTGGAGAACACACATCACAATCAAGGTTCTGAGAATGCTTCTGTCTAAATTTTCTATGAAGACATTCCCGTTTCCAACGAAATCCTCACAGCTATCCAAATATCCACTTGCAGATTCTACAAAAAGTGTGGTTCAAAACTGCTGTATCAAAAGAATGGATCAACACTGTTAGTTGAGTACCCACATCACAAACGTGATTCTCAGAATGCTTCTGTCTAGTTTCTGTAGGTAGATATTTCCTATTTTAAGCATAGGCCTGAAAGCGCTCCAAATGCCCGCTTCCAGACACTATAAAAAGAGGGTTTCAAACCTACTCTATGAAAGGGAATGTTCAACTCTGAGAGCTGGATGCAAACATCACAAAGAAGTTTCTGAGAATGCTGCTGTCAACTTTTTATATATAATCCCGTTTCCAACGAAATCCTCAAATCTATCCAAATATCCACTTGCAGATTCCAAAAGAAGAGTGTCTCAAAACTGCTCTATCAATAGAAATGTTCAGCACAGTTAGTTGAGTAGATACAGCATAAACATGTTTGCTGAGATTACTTCTCTATCTCGCATTCATGGGAAGATATTTCCTTTTTCCAGATAGGCTACAAAGCCCTCCAAATGTCCACTTCCAGATACTACAAATAGAGTGCTGCACAACTGCTCTATGTGAGGGGAAGTTCAATTCTGTGACTTGAATGCAGACACCACAAAGAAGTTTCTGAGAATGCTGCTGTCTAATTTTTACATGTAAGCCCGTTTCCAACGAAATCCTCAAAGCTAACCAAATATCCGCATGCAGAATCTTCAAAAAGAGTGTTCCAGAAGTACTGCATGAAACGAAAGGTTCGAGTCCGTTAGTTGAGGACACGCATCACAAATAAGTTTCTCAGAATGCTTCTGTCTTGTTTTCATTGGAAGATATTTCCTTTTTCACCATAGTTCTGAAAGCGCTCCAAATGTCCACTTCCAGACACTCCAAAAAAAGTGTTTCAAACCTGCTCTATGAATGGGAATGTTCCACTCTGTGACTTGAATGGAAATATGGCAAAGTATTTTCTGAGTATGCTGCTGTGTACGTTTTATATTGCATCCCGTTTCCAACGAAATCCTCAAAGCGATCCAAATATCCACTTGCAGATTCCAAAAAAAGAGTGTTTCAAACTGCTCTGTCAGTACAAAGGTTCAACACTGTTAGTTGATTAGATGCATCATAAACAAGTTCCTGAGATAGCTTCTATGTCGTTTTTATGGGAAGATATTTCCTTTTTCACCATAGGCCTGAAAGCGCTCCAAATGTCCACTTCCAGATACTACAATAAGAGTGTTTCCAACCTGCTCTATGAAACGGAAGGTTCAACTCTGTGACTTGATTGCAAACATCACGAAGGTGTTTCTGAGAATGCTTCTGTCTAGATTTTCTTTGAAGACATTACCGTTTCCAACGAAATCCTCAAAGCTAGTCAAATATCCACCTGCAGATTCTACAAAAAGAGTGTTTCAAAAGTGCTCTGTCCAAACAAAGGTTCAATTCCGACAGTTGAGTGCACACATCACAAACGTGATTCTGCGAATGCTTCTGTCTAGTTTTTGTCGGAAGATATTTCCTTTTTCAGCATAGGCCCCAAGGAGCTCAAAATGTCCACTGCCAGATAGTACGAGAAGATTGTTTCAAACCTGCTCTGTGAAAGGGAATGTTCAACTCTGTGACTTGAATGTAAACATCCCTAAGATGTTTCTTAGAATGCTTCTGGCTAGATTTGATTTGAAGATATTCCCGTTTCCAACGAAATCCTCAAAGCTTTCCAAATATCCACTTCCAGATTCTATAAAAAGAATGTTTCAGAACAGTTCTGTCAAAAGAAAGGTTCAACTCTGTTAGTGGAGAACACACATCACAATCAAGGTTCTGAGAATGCTTCTGTCTAAATTTTCTATGAAGACATTCCCGTTTCCAACGAAATCCTCACAGCTATCCAAATATCCACTTGCAGATTCTACAAAAAGTGTGGTTCAAAACTGCTGTATCAAAAGAATGGATCAACACTGTTAGTTGAGTACCCACATCACAAACTTGATTCTCAGAATGCTTCTGTCTAGTTTCTGTAGGTAGATATTTCCTATTTTAAGCATAGGCCTGAAAGCGCTCCAAATGCCCGCTTCCAGACACTATAAAAAGAGGGTTTCAAACCTACTCTATGAAAGGGAATGTTCAACTCTGAGAGCTGGATGCAAACATCACAAAGAAGTTTCTGAGAATGCTGCTGTCTACTTTTTATATATAATCCCGTTTCCAACGAAATCCTCAAATCTATCCAAATATCCACTTGCAGATTCCAAAAGAAGAGTGTCTCAAAACTGCTCTATCAATAGAAATGTTCAGCACAGTTAGTTGAGTAGATACAGCATAAACATGTTTCTGAGATTACTTCTATCTCGCATTCATGGGAAGATATTTCCTTTTTCCAGATAGGCTACAAAGCCCTCCAAATGTCCACTTCGAGATACTACAAATAGAGTGCTGCACAACTGCTCTATGTGAGGGGAAGTTCAATTCTGTGACTTGAATGCAGACACCACAAAGAAGTTTCTGAGAATGCTGCTGTCTAATTTTTATATGTAAGCCCGTTTCCAACGAAATCCTCAAAGCTATCCAAATATCCGCATGCAGAATCTTCAAAAAGAGTGTTCCAGAAGTACTGCATGAAACGAAAGGTTCAAGTCCGTTTGTTGAGGACACACATCACAAATAAGTTTCTCAGAATGCTTCTGTCTTGTTTTCATTGGAAGATATTTCCTTTTTCACCATAGTTCAGAAAGCGCTCCAAATGTCCACTTCCAGATACTCCAAAAAGAGTGTTTCCAACCTGCTCTATGAATGGGAATGTTCCACTCTGTGACTTGAATGGAAATATGGCAAAGTATTTTCTGAGTATGCTGCTGTGTACGTTTTATATTGCATCCCGTTTCCAACGAAATCCTCAAAGCGATCCAAATATCCACTTGCAGATTCCAAAAAAAAAGTGTTTCAACCTGCTCTGTCAGTACAAAGGTTCAACACTGTTAGTTGATTAGATGCATCATAAACAAGTTCCTGAGATAGCTTCTATGTCGTTTTTATGGGAAGATATTTCCTTTTTCACCATAGGCCTGAAAGCGCTCCAAATGTCCACTTCCAGATACTACAATAAGAGTGTTTCCAACCTGCTCTATGAAACGGAAGGTTCAACTCTGTGACTTGATTGCAAACATCACGAAGGTGTTTCTGAGAATGCT
>NC_000008.11:45196758-45344932 GCF_000001405.40 Homo sapiens | reverse complement strand
TCTGTCTAGATTTTCTTTGAAGACATTACCGTTTCCAACGAAATCCTCAAAGCTAGCCAAATATCCACCTGCAGATTCTACAAAAAGAGTGTTTCAAAAGTGCTCTGTCCAAACCAAAGGTTCAATTCTGACAGTTGAGTGCACACATCACAAACGTGATTCTGCGAATGCTTCTGTCTAGTTTTTGTCGGAAGATATTTCCTTTTTCAGCATAGGCCCCAAGGAGCTCAAAATGTCCACTGCCAGATAGTACGAGAAGATTGTTTCAAACCTGCTCTGTGAAAGGGAATGTTCAACTCTGTGACTTGAATGTAAACATCCCTAAGATGTTTCTTAGAATGCTTCTGGCTAGATTTGATTTGAAGATATTCCCGTTTCCAACGAAATCCTCAAAGCTTTCCAAATATCCACTTCCAGATTCTATAACAAGAATGTTTCAGAACAGTTCTGTCAAAAGAAAGGTTCAACTCTGTTAGTGGAGAACACACATCACAATCAAGGTTCTGAGAATGCTTCTGTCTAAATTTTCTATGAAGACATTCCCGTTTCCAACGAAATCCTCACAGCTATCCAAATATCCACTTGCAGATTCTACAAAAAGTGTGGTTCAAAACTGCTGTATCAAAAGAATGGATCAACACTGTTAGTTGAGTACCCACATCAGAAACGTGATTCTCAGAATGCTTCTGTCTAGTTTCTATAGGTAGATATTTCCTTTTTCAGCATAGGCCTGAAAGCGCTCCAAATGCCCGCTTCCAGACACTATAAAAAGAGGGTTTCAAACCTACTCTATGAAAGGGAATGTTCAACTCTGAGAGCTGGATGCAAACATCACAAAGAAGTTTCTGAGAATGCTGCTGTCTACTTTTTATATATAATCCCGTTTCCAACGAAATCCTCAAATCTATCCAAATATCCACTTGCAGATTCCAAAAGAAGAGTGTCTCAAAACTGCTCTATCAATAGAAATGTTCAGCACAGTTAGTTGAGTAGATACAGCATAAACATGTTTCTGAGATTACATCTATCTCGCATTCATGGGAAGATATTTCCTTTTTCCAGATAGGCTACAAAGCCCTCCAAATGTCCACTTCCAGATACTACAAAAAGAGTGTTTCCAACCTGCTCTATGAAACGGAAGGTTCAACTCTGTGACTTGATTGCAAACATCACGAAGGTGTTTCTGAGAATGCTTCTGTCTAGATTTTCTTTGAAGACATTACCGTTTCCAACGAAATCCTGAAAGCTAGCCAAATATCCACCTGCAGATTCTACAAAAAGAGTGTTTCAAAAGTGCTCTGTCCAAACCAAGGTTCAATTCTGACAGTTGAGTGCACACATCACAAACGTGATTCTGCGAATGCTTCTGTCTAGTTTTTGTCGGAAGATATTTCCTTTTTCAGCATAGGCCCCAAGGAGCTCAAAATGTCCACTGCCAGATAGTACGAGAAGATTGTTTCAAACCTGCTCTGTGAAAGGGAATGTTCAACTCTGTGACTTGAATGTAAACATCCCTAAGATGTTTCTTAGAATGCTTCTGGCTAGATTTGATTTGAAGATATTCCCGTTTCCAACGAAATCCTCAAAGCTTTCCAAATATCCACTTCCAGATTCTACAAAAAGAATGTTTCAGAACAGTTCTGTCAAAAGAAAGGTTCAACTCTGTTAGTGGAGAACACACATCACAATCAAGGTTCTGAGAATGCTTCTGTCTAAATTTTCTATGAAGACATTCCCGTTTCCAACGAAATCCTCACAGCTATCCAAATATCCACTTGCAGATTCTACAAAAAGTGTGGTTCAAAACTGCTGTATCAAAAGAATGGATCAACACTGTTAGTTGAGTACCCACATCACAAACGTGATTCTCAGAATGCTTCTGTCTAGTTTCTATAGGTAGATATTTCCTTTTTCAGCATAGGCCTGAAAGCGCTCCAAATGCCCGCTTCCAGACACTATAAAAAGAGGGTTTCAAACCTACTCTATGAAAGGGAATGTTCAACTCTGAGAGCTGGATGGAAACATCACAAAGAAGTTTCTGAGAATGCTGCTGTCTACTTTTTATATATAATCCCGTTTCCAACGAAATCCTCAAATCTATCCAAATATCCACTTGCAGATTCCAAAAGAAGAGTGTCTCAAAACTGCTCTATCAATAGAAATGTTCAGCACAGTTAGTTGAGTAGATACAGCATAAACATGTTTCTGAGATTACTTCTATCTCGCATTCATGGGAAGATATTTCCTTTTTCCAGATAGGCTACAAAGCCCTCCAAATGTCCACTTCAAGATACTACAAAAAGAGTGTTTCCAACCTGCTCTATGAAACGGAAGGTTCAACTCTGTGACTTGATTGCAAACATCACGAAGGTGTTTCTGAGAATGCTTCTGTCTAGATTTTCTTTGAAGACATTACCGTTTCCAACGAAATCCTCAAAGCTAGCCAAATATCCACCTGCAGATTCTACAAAAAGAGTGTTTCAAAAGTGCTCTGTCCAAACCAAGGTTCAATTCTGACAGTTGAGTGCACACATCACAAACGTGATTCTGCGAATGCTTCTGTCTAGTTTTTGTCGGAAGATATTTCCTTTTTCAGCATAGGCCCCAAAGAGCTCAAAATGTCCACTGCCAGATAGTACGAGAAGATTGTTTCAAACCTGCTCTGTGAAAGGGAATGTTCAACTCTGTGACTTGAATGTAAACATCCCTAAGCTGTTTCTTAGAATGCTTCTGGCTAGATTTTATTTGAAGATATTCCCGTTTCCAACGAAATCCTCAAAGCTTTCCAAATATCCACTTCCAGATTCTATAAAAAGAATGTTTCAGAACAGTTCTGTCAAAAGAAAGGTTCAACTCTGTTAGTGGAGAACACACATCACAATCAAGGTTCTGAGAATGCTTCTGTCTAGATTTTCTTTGAAGACATTCCCGTTTCCAACGAAATCCTCACAGCTATCCAAATATCCTCTTGCAGATTCTAGAAAAAGTGTGGTTCAATACTGCTGTATCAAAAGAATGGATCAACACTGTTAGTTGAGTACCCACATCACAAACGTGATTCTCAGAATGCTACTGTCTAGTTTCTGTAGGTAGATATTTCCTATTTTAAGCATAGGCCTGAAAGCGCTCCAAATGCCCGCTTCCAGACACTATAAAAAGAGGGTTTCAAACCTACTCTATGAAAGGGAATGTTCAACTCTGAGAGCTGGATGCAAACATCACAAAGAAGTTTCTGAGAATGCTGCTGTCTACTTTTTATATATAATCCCGTTTCCAACGAAATCCTCAAATCTATCCAAATATCCACTTGCAGATTCCAAAAGAAGAGGGTCTCAAAACTGCTCTATCAATAGAAATGTTCAGCACAGTTAGTTGAGTAGATACAGCATAAACATGTTTCTCAGATTACTTCTATCTCGCATTCATGGGAAGATATTTCCTTTTTCCAGATAGGCTACAAAGCCCTCCAAATGTCCACTTCCAGATACTACAAATAGAGTGCTGCACAACTGCTCTATGTGAGGGGAAGTTCAATTCTGTGACTTGAATGCAGACACCACAAAGAAGTTTCTGAGAATGCTGCTGTCTAATTTTTACATGTAAGCCCGTTTCCAACGAAATCCTCAAAGCTATCCAAATATCCGCATGCAGAATCTTCAAAAAGAGTGTTCCAGAAGTACTGCATGAAACGAAAGGTTCAAGTCCGTTTGTTGAGGACACACATCACAAATAAGTTTCTCAGAATGCTTCTGTCTTGTTTTCATTGGAAGATATTTCCTTTTTCACCATAGTTCAGAAAGCGCTCCAAATGTCCACTTCCAGATACTCCAAAAAGAGTGTTTCCAACCTGCTCTATGAATGGGAATGTTCCACTCTGTGACTTGAATGGAAATATGGCAAAGTATTTTCTGAGTATGCTGCTGTGTACGTTTTATATTGCATCCCGTTTCCAACGAAATCCTCAAAGCGATCCAAATATCCACTTGCAGATTCCAAAAAAAGAGTGTTTCAAACTGCTCTGTCAGTACAAAGGTTCAACACTGTTAGTTGATTAGATGCATCATAAACAAGTTCCTGAGATAGCTTCTATGTCGTTTTTATGGGAAGATATTTCCTTTTTCACCATAGGCCTGAAAGCGCTCCAAATGTCCACTTCCAGATACTACAATAAGAGTGTTTCCAACCTGCTCTATGAAACGGAAGGTTCAACTCTGTGACTTGATTGCAAACATCACGAAGTGTTTCTGAGAATGCTTCTGTCTAGTATTTTCTTTGAAGACATTACCGTTTCCAACGAAATCCTCAAAGCTAGCCAAATATCCACCTGCAGATTCTACAAAAAGTGTGTTTCAAAAGTGCTCTCTCCAAACCAAGGTTCAATTCTGACAGTTGAGTGCACACATCACAAACGTGATTCTGCGAATGCTTCTGTCTAGTTTTTGTCGGAAGATATTTCCTTTTTCAGCATAGGCCCCAAGGAGCTCAAAATGTCCACTGCCAGATAGTACGAGAAGATTGTTTCAAACCTGCTCTGTGAAAGGGAATGTTCAACTCTGTGACTTGAATGTAAACATCCCTAAGATGT
Source organism: Homo sapiens (assembly GCF_000001405.40). NCBI lineage: Eukaryota > Metazoa > Chordata > Mammalia > Primates > Hominidae > Homo > Homo sapiens. The sequence goes on along the minus strand of NC_000008.11, from coordinate 45,340,347 downwards.
TTCTTAGAATGCTTCTGGCTAGATTTGATTTGAAGATATTCCCGTTTCCAACGAAATCCTCAAAGCTTTCCAAATATCCACTTCCAGATTCTATAAAAAGAATGTTTCAGAACAGTTCTGTCAAAAGAAAGGTTCAACTCTGTTAGTGGAGAACACACATCACAATCAAGGTTCTGAGAATGCTTCTGTCTAAATTTTCTATGAAGACATTCCCGTTTCCAACGAAATCCTCACAGCTATCCAAATATCCACTTGCAGATTCTACAAAAAGTGTGGTTCAAAACTGCTGTATCAAAAGAATGGATCAACACTGTTAGTTGAGTACCCACATCACAAACGTGATTCTCAGAATGCTTCTGTCTAGTTTCTGTAGGTAGATATTTCCTTTTTCAGCATAGGCCTGAAAGCGCTCCAAATGCCCGCTTCCAGACACTATAAAAAGGGGGTTTCAAACCTACTCTATGAAAGGGAATGTTCAACTCTGAGAGCTGGATGCAAACATCACAAAGAAGTTTTGAGAATGCTGCTGTCTACTTTTTATATATAATCCCGTTTCCAACGAAATCCTCAAATCTATCCAAATATCCACTTGCAGATTCCAAAAGAAGAGTGTCTCAAAACTGCTCTATCAATAGAAATGTTCAGCACAGTTAGTTGAGTAGATACAGCATAAACATGTTTCTGAGATTACTTCTATCTCGCTTTCATGGGAAGATATTTCCTTTTTCCATATAGGCTACAAAGCCCTCCAAATGTCCTCTTCGAGATACTACAAATAGAGTGCTGCACAACTGCTCAATGTGAGGGGATGTTCAATTCTGTGACTTGAATGCAGACACCACAAAGAAGTTTCTGAGAATGCTGCTGTCTAATTTTTATATGTAAGCCCGTTTCCAACGAAATCCTCAAAGCTATCCAAATATCCGCATGCAGAATCTTCAAAAAGAGTGTTCCAGAAGTACTGCGTGAAACGAAAGGTTCGAGTCCGTTAGTTGAGGACACGCATCACAAATAAGTTTCTCAGAATGCTTCTGTCTTGTTTTCATTGGAAGATATTTCCTTTTTCACCATAGTTCTGAAAGCGCTCCAAATGTCCACTTCCAGACACTCCAAAAAAAGTGTTTCAAACCTGCTCTATGAATGGGAATGTTCCACTCTGTGACTTGAATGGAAATATGGCAAAGTATTTTCTGAGTATGCTGCTGTGTACGTTTTATATTGCATCCCGTTTCCAACGAAATCCTCAAAGCGATCCAAATATCCACTTGCAGATTCCAAAAAAAGAGTGTTTCAAACTGCTCTGTCAGTACAAAGGTTCAACACTGTTAGTTGATTAGATGCATCATAAACAAGTTCCTGAGATAGCTTCTATCTCGCATTCATGGGAAGATATTTCCTTTTTCCAGATAGGCTACAAAGCCCTCCAAATGTCCACTTCCAGATACTACAAAAAGTGTGTTTCCAACCTGCTCTATGAAACGGAAGGTTCAACTCTGTGACTTGATTGCAAACATCACGAAGGTGTTTCTGAGAATGCTTCTGTCTAGATTTTCTTTGAAGACATTACCGTTTCCAACGAAATCCTCAAAGCTAGCCAAATATCCACCTGCAGATTCTACAAAAAGTGTGTTTCAAAAGTGCTCTCTCCAAACCAAGGTTCACTTCTGACAGTTGAGTGCACACATCACAAACGTGATTCTGCGAATGCTTCTGTCTAGTTTTTGTCGGAAGATATTTCCTTTTTCAGCATAGGCCCCAAGGAGCTCAAAATGTCCACTGCCAGATAGTACGAGAAGATTGTTTCAAACCTGCTGCTGTGAAAGGGAATGTTCAACTCTGTGACTTGAATGTAAACATCCCTAAGATGTTTCTTAGAATGCTTCTGGCTAGATTTTATTTGAAGATATTCCCGTTTCCAACGAAATCCTCAAAGCTTTCCAAATATCCACTTCCAGATTCTATAAAAAGAATGTTTCAGAACAGTTCTGTCAAAAGAAAGGTTCAACTCTGTTAGTGGAGAACACACATCACAATCAAGGTTCTGAGAATGCTTCTGTCTAGATTTTCTTTGAAGACATTCCCGTTTCCAACGAAATCCTCACAGCTATCCAAATATCCTCTTGCAGATTCTAGAAAAAGTGTGGTTCAATACTGCTGTATCAAAAGAATGGATCAACACTGTTAGTTGAGTACCCACATCACAAACGTGATTCTCAGAATGCTTCTGTCTAGTTTCTGTAGGTAGATATTTCCTATTTTAAGCATAGGCCTGAAAGCGCTCCAAATGCCCGCTTCCAGACACTATAAAAAGAGGGTTTCAAACCTACTCTATGAAAGGGAATGTTCAACTCTGAGAGCTGGATGCAAACATCACAAAGAAGTTTCTGAGAATGCTGCTGTCTACTTTTTATATATAATCCCGTTTCCAACGAAATCCTCAAATCTATCCAAATATCCACTTGCAGATTCCAAAAGAAGAGTGTCTCAAAACTGCTCTATCAATAGAAATGTTCAGCACAGTTAGTTGAGTAGATACAGCATAAACATGTTTCTGAGATTACTTCTATCTCGCATTCATGGGAAGATATTTCCTTTTTCCAGATAGGCTACAAAGCCCTCCAAATGTCCACTTCGAGATACTACAAATAGAGTGCTGCACAACTGCTCTATGTGAGGGGAAGTTCAATTCTGTGACTTGAATGCAGACACCACAAAGAAGTTTCTGAGAATGCTGCTGTCTAATTTTTACATGTAAGCCCGTTTCCAACGAAATCCTCAAAGCTATCCAAATATCCGCATGCAGAATCTTCAAAAAGAGTGTTCCAGAAGTACTGCATGAAACGAAATGTTCAAGTCCGTTTGTTGAGGACACACATCACAAATAAGTTTCTCAGAATGCTTCTGTCTTGTTTTCATTGGAAGATATTTCCTTTTTCACCATAGTTCAGAAAGCGCTCCAAATGTCCACTTCCAGATACTCCAAAAAGAGTGTTTCAAACCTGCTCTATGAATGGGAATGTTCCACTCTGTGACTTGAATGGAAATATGGCAAAGTATTTTCTGAGTATGCTGCTGTGTACGTTTTATATTGCATCCCGTTTCCAACGAAATCCTCAAAGCGATCCAAATATCCACTTGCAGATTCCAAAAAAAGAGTGTTTCAAACTGCTCTGTCAGTACAAAGGTTCAACACTGTTAGTTGATTAGATGCATCATAAACAAGTTCCTGAGATAGCTTCTATCTCGCATTCATGGGAAGATATTTCCTTTTTCCAGATAGGCTACAAAGCCCTCCAAATGTCCACTTCCAGATACTACAAAAAGTGTGTTTCCAACCTGCTCTATGAAACGGAAGGTTCAACTCTGTGACTTGATTGCAAACATCACGAAGGTGTTTCTGAGAATGCTTCTGTCTAGATTTTCTTTGAAGACATTACCGTTTCCAACGAAATCCTCAAAGCTAGCCAAATATCCACCTGCAGATTCTACAAAAAGAGTGTTTCAAAAGTGCTCTGTCCAAACCAAGGTTCAATTCTGACAGTTGAGTGCACACATCACAAACGTGATTCTGCGAATGCTTCTGTCTAGTTTTTGTCGGAAGATATTTCCTTTTTCAGCATAGGCCCCAAGGAGCTCAAAATGTCCACTGCCAGATAGTACGAGAAGATTGTTTCAAACCTGCTCTGTGAAAGGGAATGTTCAACTCTGTGACTTGAATGTAAACATCCCTAAGATGTTTCTTAGAATGCTTCTGGCTAGATTTTATTTGAAGATATTCCCGTTTCCAACGAAATCCTCAAAGCTTTCCAAATATCCACTTCCAGATTCTACAAAAAGAATGTTTCAGAACAGTTCTGTCAAAAGAAAGGTTCAACTCTGTTAGTGGAGAACACACATCACAATCAAGGTTCTGAGAATGCTTCTGTCTAAATTTTCTATGAAGACATTCCCGTTTCCAACGAAATCCTCACAGCTATCCAAATATCCACTTGCAGATTCTACAAAAAGTGTGGTTCAAAACTGCTGTATCAAAAGAATGGATCAACACTGTTAGTTGAGTACCCACATCACAAACGTGATTCTCAGAATGCTTCTGTCTAGTTTCTATAGGTAGATATTTCCTTTTTCAGCATAGGCCTGAAAGCGCTCCAAATGCCCGCTTCCAGACACTATAAAAAGAGGGTTTCAAACCTACTCTATGAAAGGGAATGTTCAACTCTGAGAGCTGGATGCAAACATCACAAAGAAGTTTCTGAGAATGCTGCTGTCTACTTTTTATATATAATCCCGTTTCCAACGAAATCCTCAAATCTATCCAAATATCCACTTGCAGATTCCAAAAGAAGAGTGTCTCAAAACTGCTCTATCAATAGAAATGTTCAGCACAGTTAGTTGAGTAGATACAGCATAAACATGTTTCTGAGATTACTACTATCTCGCATTCATGGGAAGATATTTCCTTTTTCCAGATAGGCTACAAAGCCCTCCAAATGTCCACTTCCAGATACTACAAATAGAGTGCTGCACAACTGCTCTATGTGAGGGGAAGTTCAATTCTGTGACTTGAATGCAGACACCACAAAGAAGTTTCTGAGAATGCTGCTGTCTAATTTTTACATGTAAGCCCGTTTCCAACGAAATCCTCAAAGCTATCCAAATATCCGCATGCAGAATCTTCAAAAAGAGTGTTCCAGAAGTACTGCATGAAACGAAAGGTTCAAGTCCGTTTGTTGAGGACACACATCACAAATAAGTTTCTCAGAATGCTTCTGTCTTGTTTTCATTGGAAGATATTTCCTTTTTCACCATAGTTCAAAAAGCGCTCCAAATGTCCACTTCCAGATACTCCAAAAAGAGTGTTTCCAACCTGCTCTATGAATGGGAATGTTCCACTCTGTGACTTGAATGGAAACATGGCAAAGTATTTTCTGAGTATGCTGCTGTGTACGTTTTATATTGCATCCCGTTTCCAACGAAATCCTCAAAGCGATCCAAATATCCACTTGCAGATTCCAAAAAAAGAGTGTTTCAAAGTGCTCTGTCAGTACAAAGGTTCAACACTGTTAGTTGATTAGATGCATCATAAACAAGTTCCTGAGATAGCTTCTATGTCGTTTTTATGGGAAGATATTTCCTTTTTCACCATAGGCCTGAAAGCGCTCCAAATGTCCACTTCCAGATACTACAATAAGAGTGTTTCCAACCTGCTCTATGAAACGGAAGGTTCAACTCTGTGACTTGATTGCAAACATCACGAAGGTGTTTCTGAGAATGCTTCTGTCTAGATTTTCTTTGAAGACATTCCCGTTTCCAACGAAATCCTCACAGCTATCCAAATATCCTCTTGCAGATTCTACAAAAAGTGTGGTTCAAAACTGCTGTATCAAAAGAATGGATCAACACTGTTAGTTGAGTACCCACATCACAAACGTGATTCTCAGAATGCTTCTGTCTAGTTTCTGTAGGTAGATATTTCCTATTTTAAGCATAGGCCTGAAAGCGCTCCAAATGCCCGCTTCCAGACACTATAAAAAGAGGGTTTCAAACCTACTCTATGAAAGGGAATGTTCAACTCTGAGAGCTGGATGCAAACATCACAAAGAAGTTTCTGAGAATGCTGCTGTCTACTTTTTATATATAATCCCGTTTCCAACGAAATCCTCAAATCTATCCAAATATCCACTTGCAGATTCCAAAAGAAGAGTGTCTCAAAACTGCTCTATCAATAGAAATGTTCAGCACAGTTAGTTGAGTAGATACAGCATAAACATGTTTCTGAGATTACTTCTATCTCGCATTCATGGGAAGATATTTCCTTTTTCCAAGTAGGCTACAAAGCCCTCCAAATGTCCACTTCGAGATACTACAAATAGAGTGCTGCACAACTGCTCTATGTGAGGGGAAGTTCAATTCTGTGACTTGAATGCAGACACCACAAAGAAGTTTCTGAGAATGCTGCTGTCTAATTTTTACATGTAAGCCCGTTTCCAACGAAATCCTCAAAGCTATCCAAATATCCGCATGCAGAATCTTCAAAAAGAGTGTTCCAGAAGTACTGCATGAAACGAAAGGTTCAAGTCCGTTTGTTGAGGACACACATCACAAATAAGTTTCTCAGAATGCTTCTGTCTTGTTTTCATTGGAAGATATTTCCTTTTTCACCATAGTTCAGAAAGCGCTCCAAATGTCCACTTCCAGATACTCCAAAAAGAGTGTTTCCAACCTGCTCTATGAATGGGAATGTTCCACTCTGTGACTTGAATGGAAATATGGCAAAGTATTTTCTGAGTATGCTGCTGTGTACGTTTTATATTGCATCCCGTTTCCAACGAAATCCTCAAAGCGATCCAAATATCCACTTGCAGATTCCAAAAAAAGAGTGTTTCAAACTGCTCTGTCAGTACAAAGGTTCAACACTGTTAGTTGATTAGATGCATCATAAACAAGTTCCTGAGATAGCTTCTATGTCGTTTTTATGGGAAGATATTTCCTTTTTCACCATAGGCCTGAAAGCGCTCCAAATGTCCACTTCCAGATACTACAATAAGAGTGTTTCCAACCTGCTCTATGAAACGGAAGGTTCAACTCTGTGACTTGATTGCAAACATCACGAAGGTGTTTCTGAGAATGCTTCTGTCTAGATTTTCTTTGAAGACATTCCCGTTTCCAACGAAATCCTCACAGCTATCCAAATATCCTCTTGCAGATTCTACAAAAAGTGTGGTTCAAAACTGCTGTATCAAAAGAATGGATCAACACTGTTAGTTGAGTACCCACATCACAAACGTGATTCTCAGAATGCTTCTGTCTAGTTTCTATAGGTAGATATTTCCTTTTTCAGCATAGGCCTGAAAGCGCTCCAAATGCCCGCTTCCAGACACTATAAAAAGAGGGTTTCAAACCTACTCTATGAAAGGGAATGTTCAACTCTGGGAGCTGGATGCAAACATCACAAAGAAGTTTCTGAGAATGCTGCTGTCTACTTTTTATATATAATCCCGTTTCCAACGAAATCCTCAAATCTATCCAAATATCCACTTGCAGATTCCAAAAGAAGAGTGTCTCAAAACTGCTCTATCAATAGAAATGTTCAGCACAGTTAGTTGAGTAGATACAGCATAAACATGTTTCTGAGATTACTTCTATCTCGCATTCATGGGAAGATATTTCCTTTTTCCAGATAGGCTACAAAGCCCTCCAAATGTCCACTTCCAGATACTACAAAAAGAGTGTTTCCAACCTGCTCTATGAAACGGAAGGTTCAACTCTGTGACTTGATTGCAAACATCACGAAGGTGTTTCTGAGAATGCTTCTGTCTAGATTTTCTTTGAAGACATTACCGTTTCCAACGAAATCCTCAAAGCTAGCCAAATATCCACCTGCAGATTCTACAAAAAGAGTGTTTCAAAAGTGCTCTGTCCAAACCAAGGTTCAATTCTGACAGTTGAGTGCACACAACACAAACGTGATTCTGCGAATGCTTCTGTCTAGTTTTTGTCGGAAGATATTTCCTTTTTCAGCATAGGCCCCAAGGAGCTCAAAATGTCCACTGCCAGATAGTACGAGAAGATTGTTTCAAACCTGCTCTGTGAAAGGGAATGTTCAACTCTGTGACTTGAATGTAAACATCCCTAAGATGTTTCTTAGAATGCTTCTGGCTAGATTTCATTTGAAGATATTCCCGTTTCCAACGAAATCCTCAAAGCTTTCCAAATATCCACTTCCAGATTCTATAAAAAGAATGTTTCAGAACAGTTCTGTCAAAAGAAAGGTTCAACTCTGTTAGTGGAGAACACACATCACAATCAAGGTTCTGAGAATGCTTCTGTCTAAATTTTCTATGAAGACATTCCCGTTTCCAACGAAATCCTCACAGCTATCCAAATATCCACTTGCAGATTCTACAAAAAGTGTGGTTCAAAACTGCTGTATCAAAAGAATGGATCAACACTGTTAGTTGAGTACCCACATCACAAACGTGATTCTCAGAATGCTTCTGTCTAGTTTCTATAGGTAGATATTTCCTTTTTCAGCATAGGCCCGAAAGCGCTCCAAATGCCCGCTTCCAGACACTATAAAAAGAGGGTTTCAAACCTACTCTATGAAAGGGAATGTTCAACTCTGAGAGCTGGATGCAAACATCACAAAGAAGTTTCTGAGAATGCTGCTGTCTACTTTTGTTATATAATCCCGTTTCCAACGAAATCCTCAAATCTATCCAAATATCCACTTGCAGATTCCAAAAGAAGAGTGTCTCAAAACTGCTCTATCAATAGAAATGTTCAGCACAGTTAGTTGAGTAGATACAGCATAAACATGTTTCTGAGATTACTTCTATCTCGCATTCATGGGAAGATATTTCCTTTTTCCAGATAGGCTACAAAGCCCTCCAAATGTCCACTTCCAGATACTACAAAAAGAGTGTTTCCAACCTGCTCTATGAAACGGAAGGTTCAACTCTGTGACTTGATTGCAAACATCACGAAGGTGTTTCTGAGAATGCTTCTGTCTAGATTTTCTTTGAAGACATTACCGTTTCCAACGAAATCCTCAAAGCTAGCCAAATATCCACCTGCAGATTCTACAAAAAGAGTGTTTCAAAAGTGCTCTGTCCAAACCAAGGTTCAATTCTGACAGTTGAGTGCACACATCACAAACCTGATTCTGCGAATGCTTCTGTCTAGTTTTTGTCGGAAGATATTTCCTTTTTCAGCATAGGCCCCAAGGAGCTCAAAATGTCCACTGCCAGATAGTACGAGAAGATTGTTTCAAACCTGCTCTGTGAAAGGGAATGTTCAACTCTGTGACTTGAATGTAAACATCCCTAAGATGTTTCTTAGAATGCTTCTGGCTAGATTTTCTTTGAAGATATTCCCGTTTCCAACGAAATCCTCAAAGCTTTCCAAATATCCACTTCCAGATTCTATAAAAAGAATGTTTCAGAACAGTTCTGTCAAAAGAAAGGTTCAACTCTGTTAGTGGAGAACACACATCACAATCAAGGTTCTGAGAATGCTTCTGTCTAAATTTTCTATGAAGACATTCCCGTTTCCAACGAAATCCTCACAGCTATCCAAATATCCACTTGCAGATTCTACAAAAAGTGTGGTTCAAAACTGCTGTATCAAAAGAATGGATCAACACTGTTAGTTGAGTACCCACATCACAAACGTGATTCTCAGAATGCTTCTGACTAGTTTCTGTAGGTAGATATTTCCTTTTTCAGCATAGGCCTGAAAGCGCTCCAAATGCCCGCTTCCAGACACTATAAAAAGAGGGTTTCAAACCTACTCTATGAAAGGGAATGTTCAACTCTGAGAGCTGGATGCAAACATCACAAAGAAGTTTCTGAGAATGCTGCTGTCTACTTTTGATATATAATCCCGTTTCCAACGAAATCCTCAAATCTATCCAAATATCCACTTGCAGATTCCAAAAGAAGAGTGTCTCAAAACTGCTCTATCAATAGAAATGTTCAGCACAGTTAGTTGAGTAGATACAGCATAAACATGTTTCTGAGATTACTTCTATCTCGCATTCATGGGAAGATATTTCCTTTTTCCAGATAGGCTACAAAGCCCTCCAAATGTCCACTTCCAGATACTACAAAAAGAGTGTTTCCAACCTGCTCTATGAAACGGAAGGTTCAACTCTGTGACTTGATTGCAAATATCACGAAGGTGTTTCTGAGAATGCTTCTGTCTAGATTTTCTTTGAAGACATTACCGTTTCCAACGAAATCCTCAAAGCTAGCCAAATATCCACCTGCAGATTCTACAAAAAGAGTGTTTCAAAAGTGCTCTGTCCAAACCAAGGTTCAATTCTGACAGTTGAGTGCACACATCACAAACGTGATTCTGCGAATGCTTCTGTCTAGTTTTTGTCGGAAGATATTTCCTTTTTCAGCATAGGCCCCAAAGAGCTCAAAATGTCCACTGCCAGATAGTACGAGAAGATTGTTTCAAACCTGCTCTGTGAAAGGGAATGTTCAACTCTGTGACTTGAATGTAAACATCCCTAAGCTGTTTCTTAGAATGCTTCTGGCTAGATTTGATTTGAAGATATTCCCGTTTCCAACGAAATCCTCAAAGCTTTCCAAATATCCACTTCCAGATTCTATAAAAAGAATGTTTCAGAACAGTTCTGTCAAAAGAAAGGTTCAACTCTGTTAGTGGAGAACACACATCACAATCAAGGTTCTGAGAATGCTTCTCTCTAAATTTTCTATGAAGACATTCCCGTTTCCAACGAAATCCTCACAGCTATCCAAATATCCACTTGCAGATTCTACAAAAAGTGTGGTTCAAAACTGCTGTATCAAAAGAATGGATCAACACTGTTAGTTGAGTACCCACATCACAAACGTGATTCTCAGAATGCTTCTGTCTAGTTTCTATAGGTAGATATTTCCTTTTTCAGCATAGGCCTGAAAGCGCTCCAAATGCCCGCTTCCAGACACTATAAAAAGAGGGTTTCAAACCTACTCTATGAAAGGGAATGTTCAACTCTGAGAGCTGGATGCAAACATCACAAAGAAGTTTCTGAGAATGCTGCTGTCAACTTTTGATATATAATCCCGTTTCCAACGAAATCCTCAAATCTATCCAAATATCCACTTGCAGATTCCAAAAGAAGAGTGTCTCAAAACTGCTCTATCAATAGAAATGTTCAGCACAGTTAGTTGAGTAGATACAGCATAAACATGTTTCTGAGATTACTTCTATCTCGCATTCATGGGAAGATATTTCCTTTTTCCAGATAGGCTACAAAGCCCTCCAAATGTCCACTTCCAGATACTACAAAAAGAGTGTTTCCAACCTGCTCTATGAAACGGAAGGTTCAACTCTGTGACTTGATTGCAAACATCACGAAGGTGTTTCTGAGAATGCTTCTGTGTAGATTTTCTTTGAAGACATTACCGTTTCCAACGAAATCCTCAAAGCTAGCCAAATATCCACCTGCAGATTCTACAAAAAGAGTGTTTCAAAAGTGCTCTGTCCAAACCAAGGTTCAATTCTGACAGTTGAGTGCACACATCACAAACGTGATTCTGCGAATGCTTCTGTCTAGTTTTTGTCGGAAGATATTTCCTTTTTCAGCATAGGCCCCAAGGAGCTCAAAATGTCCACTTCCAGATAGTACGAGAAGATTGTTTCAAACCTGCTCTGTGAAAGGGAATGTTCAACTCTGTGACTTGAATGTAAACATCCCTAAGATGTTTCTTAGAATGCTTCTGGCTAGATTTTATTTGAAGATATTCCCGTTTCCAACGAAATCCTCAAAGCTTTCCAAATATCCACTTCCAGATTCTATAAAAAGAATGTTTCAGAACAGTTCTGTCAAAAGAAAGGTTCAACTCTGTTAGTGGAGAACACACATCACAATCAAGGTTCTGAGAATGCTTCTGTCTAGATTTTCTTTGAAGACATTCCCGTTTCCAACGAAATCCTCACAGCTATCCAAATATCCTCTTGCAGATTCTACAAAAAGTGTGGTTCAAAACTGCTGTATCAAAAGAATGGATCAACACTGTTAGTTGAGGTACCCACATCACAAACGTGATTCTCAGAATGCTTCTGTCTAGTTTCTGTAGGTAGATATTTCCTATTTTAAGCATAGGCCTGAAAGCGCTCCAAATGCCCGCTTCCAGACACTATAAAAAGAGGGTTTCAAACCTACTCTATGAAAGGGAATGCTCAACTCTGAGAGCTGGATGCAAACATCACAAAGAAGTTTCTGAGAATGCTGCTGTCTACTTTTTATATATAATCCCGTTTCCAACGAAATCCTCAAATCTATCCAAATATCCACTTGCAGATTCCAAAAGAAGAGTGTCTCAAAACTGCTCTATCAATAGAAATGTTCAGCACAGTTAGTTGAGTAGATACAGCATAAACATGTTTCTGAGATTACTTCTATCTCGCATTCATGGGAAGATATTTCCTTTTTCCAGATAGGCTACAAAGCCCTCCAAATGTCCACTTCCAGATACTACAAAAAGAGTGTTTCCAACCTGCTCTATGAAACGGAAGGTTCAACTCTGTGACTTGATTGCAAACATCACGAAGTTGTTTCTGAGAATGCTTCTGTCTAGATTTTCTTTGAAGACATTACCGTTTCCAACGAAATCCTCAAAGCTAGCCAAATATCCACCTGCAGATTCTACAAAAAGAGTGTTTCAAAAGTGCTCTGTCCAAACCAAGGTTCAATTCTGACAGTTGAGTGCACACATCACAAACGTGATTCTGCAAATGCTTCTGTCTAGTTTTTGTCGGAAGATATTTCCTTTTTCAGCATAGGCCCCAAGGAGCTCAAAATGTCCACTGCCAGATAGTACGAGAAGATTGTTTCAAACCTGCTCTGTGAAAGGGAATGTTCAACTCTGTGACTTGAATGTAAACATCCCTAAGATGTTTCTTAGAATGCTTCTGGCTAATTTGATTTGAAGATATTCCCGTTTCCAACGAAATCCTCAAAGCTTTCCAAATATCCACTTCCAGATTCTATAAAAAGAATGTTTCAGAACAGTTCTGTCAAAAGAAAGGTTCAACTCTGTTAGTGGAGAACACACATCACAATCAAGGTTCTGAGAATGCTTCTGTCTAAATTTTCTATGAAGACATTCCCGTTTCCAACGAAATCCTCACAGCTATCCAAATATCCACTTGCAGATTCTACAAAAAGTGTGGTTCAAAACTGCTGTATCAAAAGAATGGATCAACACTGTTAGTTGAGTACCCACATCACAAACGTGATTCTCAGAATGCTTCTGTCTAGTTTCCATAGGTAGATATTTCCTTTTTCAGCATAGGCCTGAAAGCGCTCCAAATGCCCGCTTCCAGACACTATAAAAAGAGGGTTTCAAACCTACTCTATGAAAGGGAATGTTCAACTCTGAGAGCTGGATGCAAACATCACAAAGAAGTTTCTGAGAATGCTGCTGTCTACTTTTGATATATAATCCCGTTTCCAACGAAATCCTCAAATCTATCCAAATATCCACTTGCAGATTCCAAAAGAAGAGTGTCTCAAAACTGCTCTATCAATAGAAATGTTCAGCACAGTTAGTTGAGTAGATACAGCATAAACATGTTTCTGAGATTACTTCTATCTCGCATTCATGGGAAGATATTTCCTTTTTCCACATAGGCTACAAAGCCCTCCAAATGTCCACTTCCAGATACTACAAAAAGAGTGTTTCCAACCTGCTCTATGAAACGGAAGGTTCAACTCTGTGACTTGATTGCAAACATCACGAAGGTGTTTCTGAGAATGCTTCTGTCTAGATTTTCTTTGAAGACATTACCGTTTCCAACGAAATCCTCAAAGCTAGCCAAATATCCACCTGCAGATTCTACAAAAAGAGTGTTTCAAAAGTGCTCTGTCCAAACCAAGGTTCAATTCTGACAGTTGAGTGCACACATCACAAACGCGATTCTGCGAATGCTTCTGTCTAGTTTTTGTCGGAAGATATTTCCTTTTTCAGCATAGGCCCCAAGGAGCTCAAAATGTCCACTGCCAGATAGTACGAGAAGATTGTTTCAAACCTGCTCTGTGAAAGGGAATGTTCAACTCTGTGACTTGAATGTAAACATCCCTAAGATGTTTCTTAGAATGCTTCTGGCTAGATTTTATTTGAAGATATTCCCGTTTCCAACGAAATCCTCAAAGCTTTCCAAATATCCACTTCCAGATTCTATAAAAAGAATGTTTCAGAACAGTTCTGTCAAAAGAAAGGTTCAACTCTGTTAGTGGAGAACACACATCACAATCAAGGTTCTGAGAATGCTTCTGTCTAAATTTTCTATGAAGACATTCCCGTTTCCAACGAAATCCTCACAGCTATCCAAATATCCACTTGCAGATTCTACAAAAAGTGTGGTTCAAAACTGCTGTATCAAAAGAATGGATCAACACTGTTAGTTGAGTACCCACATCACAAACGTGATTCTCAGAATGCTCTGTCTAGTTTCTATAGGTAGATATTTCCTTTTTCAGCATAGGCCTGAAAGCGCTCCAAATGCCCGCTTCCAGACACTATAAAAAGAGGGTTTCAAACCTACTCTATGAAAGGGAATGTTCAACTCTGAGAGCTGGATGCAAACATCACAAAGAAGTTCTGAGAATGCTGGCTGTCTACTTTTTATATATAATCCCGTTTCCAACGAAATCCTCAAATCTATCCAAATATCCACTTGCAGATTCCAAAAGAAGAGTGTCTCAAAACTGCTCTATCAATAGAAATGTTCAGCACAGTTAGTTGAGTAGATACAGCATAAACATGTTTCTGAGATTACTTCTATCTCGCATTCATGGGAAGATATTTCCTTTTTCCAGATAGGCTACAAAGCCCTCCAAATGTCCACTTCCAGATACTACAAAAAGAGTGTTTCCAACCTGCTCTATGAAACGGAAGGTTCAACTCTGTGACTTGATTGCAAACATCACGAAGGTGTTTCTGAGAATGCTTCTGTCTAGATTTTCTTTGAAGACATTACCGTTTCCAACGAAATCCTCAAAGCTAGCCAAATATCCACCTGCAGATTCTACAAAAAGAGTGTTTCAAAAGTGCTCTGTCCAAACCAAGGTTCAATTCTGACAGTTGAGTGCACACATCACAAACGTGATTCTGCGAATGCTTCTATCTAGTTTTTGTCGGAAGATATTTCCTTTTTCAGCATAGGCCCCAAGGAGCTCAAAATGTCCACTTCCAGATAGTACGAGAAGATTGTTTCAAACCTGTTCTGCGAAAGGGAATGTTCCACTCTGTGACTTGAATGTAAACATCCCTAATATGTTTCTTAGAATGCTTCTGGCTAGATTTTATTTGAAGATATTCCCGTTTCCAACGAAATCCTCAAATCTTTCCAAATATCCACTTCCAGATTCTATAAAAAGAATGTTTCAGAACAGTTCTGTCAAAAGAAAGGTTCAACTCTGTTAGTGGAGAACACACATCACAATCAAGGTTCTGAGAATGCTTCTGTCTAAATTTTCTATGAAGACATTCCCGTTTCCAACGAAATCCTCACAGCTATCCAAATATCCACTTGCAGATTCTACAAAAAGTGTGGTTCAAAACTGCTGTATCAAAAGAATGGATCAACACTGTTAGTTGAGTACCCACATCACAAACGTGATTCTCAGAATGCTTCTGTCTAGTTTCTATATGTAGATATTTCCTTTTTCAGCATAGGCCTGAAAGCGCTCCAAATGCCCGCTTCCAGACACTATAAAAAGAGGGTTTCAAACCTACTCTATGAAAGGGAATGTTCAACTCTGAGAGCTGGATGCAAACATCACAAAGAAGTTTCTGAGAATGCTGCTGTCTACTTTTTATATATAATCCCGTTGCCAACGAAATCCTCAAATCTTTCCAAATATCCACTTGCAGATTCCAAAAGAAGAGTGTCTAAAAACTGCTCTATCAATAGAAATGTTCAGCACAGTTAGTTGAGTAGATACAGCATAAACATGTTTCTGAGATTACTTCTATCTCGCATTCATGGGAAGATATTTCCTTTTTCCAGATAGGCTACAAAACCCTCCAAATGTCCACTTCCAGATACTACAAATAGAGTGCTGCACAACTGCTCTATGTGAGGGGATGTTCAATTCTGTGACTTGAATGCAGACACCA
This sequence comes from Homo sapiens, assembly GCF_000001405.40. Lineage (NCBI taxonomy): Eukaryota > Metazoa > Chordata > Mammalia > Primates > Hominidae > Homo > Homo sapiens. The sequence goes on along the minus strand of NC_000008.11, from coordinate 45,324,706 downwards.
CAAAGAAGTTTCTGAGAATGCTGCTGTCTAATTTTTACATGTAAGCCCGTTTCCAACGAAATCCTCAAAGCAATCCAAATATCCGCATGCAGAATCTTCAAAAAGAGTGTTCCAGAAGTACTGCATGAAACGAAAGGTTCAAGTCCGTTTGTTGAGGACACACATCACAAATAAGTTTCTCAGAATGCTTCTGTCTTGTTTTCATTGGAAGATATTTCCTTTTTCACCATAGTTCAGAAAGCGCTCCAAATGTCCACTTCCAGATACTCCAAAAAGAGTGTTTCCAACCTGCTCTATGAATGGGAATGTTCCACTCTGTGACTTGAATGGAAATATGGCAAAGTATTTTCTGAGTATGCTGCTGTGTACGTTTTATATTGCATCCCGTTTCCAACGAAATCCTCAAAGCGATCCAAATATCCACTTGCAGATTCCAAAAAAAGAGTGTTTCAAACTGCTCTGTCAGTACAAAGGTTCAACACTGTTAGTTGATTAGATGCATCATAAACAAGTTCCTGAGATAGCTTCTATGTCGTTTTTATGGGAATATATTTCCTTTTTCACCATAGGCCTGAAAGCGCTCCAAATGTCCACTTCCAGATACTACAAAAAGAGTGTTTCCAACCTGCTCTAAGAAACGGAAGGTTCAACTCTGTGACTTGATTGCAAACATCACGAAGGTGTTTCTGAGAATGCTTCTGTCTAGATTTTCTTTGAAGACATTACCGTTTCCAACGAAATCCTCAAAGCTAGCCAAATATCCACCTGCAGATTCTACAAAAAGAGTGTTTCAAAAGTGCTCTGTCCAAACCAAGGTTCAATTCTGACAGTTGAGTGCACACATCACAAACGTGATTCTGCGAATGCTTCTGTCTAGTTTTTGTCGGAAGATATTTCCTTTTTCAGCATAGGCCCCAAGGAGCTCAAAATGTCCACTGCCAGATAGTACGAGAAGATTGTTTCAAACCTGCTCTGTGAAAGGGAATGTTCAACTCTGTGACTTGAATGTAAACATCCCTAAGCTGTTTCTTAGAATGCTTCTGGCTAGATTTGATTTGAAGATATTCCCGTTTCCAACGAAATCCTCAAAGCTTTCCAAATATCCACTTCCAGATTCTATAAAAAGAATGTTTCAGAACAGTTCTGTCAAAAGAAAGGTTCAACTCTGTTAGTGGAGAACACACATCACAATCAAGGTTCTGAGAATGCTTCTGTCTAAATTTTCTATGAAGACATTCCCGTTTCCAACGAAATCCTCACAGCTATCCAAATATCCACTTGCAGATTCTACAAAAAGTGTGGTTCAAAACTGCTGTATCAAAAGAATGGATCAACACTGTTAGTTGAGTACCCACATCACAAACGTGATTCTCAGAATGCTTCTGTCTAGTTTCTATAGGTAGATATTTCCTTTTTCAGCATAGGCCTGAAAGCGCTCCAAATGCCCGCTTCCAGACACTATAAAAAGAGGGTTTCAAACCTACTCTATGAAAGGGAATGTTCAACTCTGAGAGCTGGATGCAAACATCACAAAGAAGTTTCTGAGAATGCTGCTGTCTACTTTTTATATATAATCCCGTTTCCAACGAAATCCTCAAATCTATCCAAATATCCACTTGCAGATTCCAAAAGAAGAGTGTCTCAAAACTGCTCTATCAATAGAAATGTTCAGCACAGTTAGTTGAGTAGATACAGCATAAACATGTTTCTGAGATTACTTCTATCTCGCATTCATGGGAAGATATTTCCTTTTTCCAGATAGGCTACAAAGCCCTCCAAATGTCCACTTCCAGATACTACAAAAAGAGTGTTTCCAACCTGCTCTATGAAACGGAAGGTTCAACTCTGTGACTTGATTGCAAACATCACGAAGGTGTTTCTGAGAATGCTTCTGTCTAGATTTTCTTTGAAGACATTACCGTTTCCAACGAAATCCTCAAAGCTAGCCAAATATCCACCTGCAGATTCTACAAAAAGAGTGTTTCAAAAGTGCTCTGTCCAAACCAAGGTTCAATTCTGACAGTTGAGTGCACACATCACAAACGTGATTCTGCGAATGCTTCTGTCTAGTTTTTGTCGGAAGATATTTCCTTTTTCAGCATAGGCCCCAAGGAGCTCAAAATGTCCACTGCCAGATAGTACGAGAAGATTGTTTCAAACCTGCTCTGTGAAAGGGAATGTTCAACTCTGTGACTTGAATGTAAACATCCCTAAGATGTTTCTTAGAATGCTTCTGGCTAGATTTGATTTGAAGATATTCCCGTTTCCAACGAAATCCTCAAAGCTTTCCAAATATCCACTTCCAGATTCTATAACAAGAATGTTTCAGAACAGTTCTGTCAAAAGAAAGGTTCAACTCTGTTAGTGGAGAACACACATCACAATCAAGGTTCTGAGAATGCTTCTGTCTAAATTTTCTATGAAGACATTCCCGTTTCCAACGAAATCCTCACAGCTATCCAAATATCCACTTGCAGATTCTACAAAAAGTGTGGTTCAAAACTGCTGTATCAAAAGAATGGATCAACACTGTTAGTTGAGTACCCACATCACAAACGTGATTCTCAGAATGCTTCTGTCTAGTTTCCATAGGTAGATATTTCCTTTTTCAGCATAGGCCTGAAAGCGCTCCAAATGCCCGCTTCCAGACACTATAAAAAGAGGGTTTCAAACCTACTCTATGAAAGGGAATGTTCAACTCTGAGAGCTGGATGCAAACATCACAAAAAGTTTCTGAGAATGCTGCTGTCTACTTTTGATATATAATCCCGTTTCCAACGAAATCCTCAAATCTATCCAAATATCCACTTGCAGATTCCAAAAGAAGAGTGTCTCAAAACTGCTCTATCAATAGAAATGTTCAGCACAGTTAGTTGAGTAGATACAGCATAAACATGTTTCTGAGATTACTTCTATCTCGCATTCATGGGAAGATATTTCCTTTTTCCAGATAGGCTACAAAGCCCTCCAAATGTCCACTTCCAGATACTACAAAGAGTGTTTCCAACCTGCTCTATGAAACGGAAGGTTCAACTCTGTGACTTGATTGCAAACATCACGAAGGTGTTTCTGAGAATGCTTCTGTCTAGATTTTCTTTGAAGACATTACCGTTTCCAACGAAATCCTCAAAGCTAGCCAAATATCCACCTGCAGATTCTACAAAAAGAGTGTTTCAAAAGTGCTCTGTCCAAACCAAGGTTCAATTCTGACAGTTGAGTGCACACATCACAAACGTGATTCTGCGAATGCTTCTGTCTAGTTTTTGTCGGAAGATATTTCCTTTTTCAGCATAGGCCCCAAAGAGCTCAAAATGTCCACTGCCAGATAGTACGAGAAGATTGTTTCAAACCTGCTCTGTGAAAGGGAATGTTCAACTCTGTGACTTGAATGTAAACATCCCTGAGATGTTTCTTAGAATGCTTCTGGCTAGATTTTATTTGAAGATATTCCCGTTTCCAACGAAATCCTCAAAGCTTTCCAAATATCCACTTCCAGATTCTATAAAAAGAATGTTTCAGAACAGTTCTGTCAAAAGAAAGGTTCAACTCTGTTAGTGGAGAACACACATCACAATCAAGGTTCTGAGAATGCTTCTGTCTAAATTTTCTATGAAGACATTCCCGTTTCCAACGAAATCCTCACAGCTATCCAAATATCCACTTGCAGATTCTACAAAAAGTGTGGTTCAAAACTGCTGTATCAAAAGAATGGATCAACACTGTTAGTTGAGTACCCACATCACAAACGTGATTCTCAGAATGCTTCTGTCTAGTTTCTATAGGTAGATATTTCCTTTTTCAGCATAGGCCTGAAAGCGCTCCAAATGCCCGCTTCCAGACACTATAAAAAGAGGGTTTCAAACCTACTCTATGAAAGGGAATGTTCAACTCTGAGAGCTGGATGCAAACATCACAAAGAAGTTTCTGAGAATGCTGCTGTCTACTTTTTATATATAATCCCGTTTCCAAGGAAATCCTCAAATCTATCCAAATATCCACTTGCAGATTCCAAAAGAAGAGTGTCTCAAAACTGCTCTATCAATAGAAATGTTCAGCACAGTTAGTTGAGTACATACAGCATAAACATGTTTACTGAGCATTACTTCTATCTCGCATTCATGGGAAGATATTTCCTTTTTCCAGATAGGCTACAAAGCCCTCCAAATGTCCACTTCCAGATACTACAAATAGAGTGCTGCACAACTGCTCTATGTGAGGGGATGTTCAATTCTGTGACTTGAATGCAGACACCACAAAGAAGTTTCTGAGAATGCTGCTGTCTAATTTTTACATGTAAGCCCGTTTCCAACGAAATCCTCAAAGCTATCCAAATATCCGCATGCAGAATCTTCAAAAAGAGTGTTCCAGAAGTACTGCATGAAACGAAAGGTTCAAGTCCGTTTGTTGAGGACACACATCACAAATAAGTTTCTCAGAATGCTTCTGTCTTGTTTTCATTGGAAGATATTTCCTTTTTCACCATAGTTCAGAAAGCGCTCCAAATGTCCACTTCCAGATACTCCAAAAAGAGTGTTTCAAACCTGCTCTATGAATGGGAATGTTCCACTCTGTGACTTGAATGGAAATATGGCAAAGTATTTTCTGAGTATGCTGCTGTGTACGTTTTATATTGCATCCCGTTTCCAACGAAATCCTCAAAGCGATCCAAATATCCACTTGCAGATTCCAAAAAAAGAGTGTTTCAAACTGCTCTGTCAGTACAAAGGTTCAACACTGTTAGTTGATTAGATGCATCATAAACAAGTTCCTGATATAGATTCTATGTCGTTTTTATGGGAAGATATTTCCTTTTTCACCATAGGCCTGAAAGCGCTCCAAATGTCCACTTCCAGATACTACAAAAAGAGTGTTTCCAACCTGCTCTATGAAACGGAAGGTTCAACTCTGTGACTTGATTGCAAACATCACGAAGGTGTTTCTGAGAATGCTTCTGTCTAGATTTTCTTTGAAGACATTACCGTTTCCAACGAAATCCTCAAATCTAGCCAAATATCCACCTGCAGATTCTACAAAAAGAGTGTTTCAAAAGTGCTCTGTCCAAACCAAGGTTCAATTCTGACAGTTGAGTGCACACATCACAAACGTGATTCTGCGAATGCTTCTGTCTAGTTTTTGTCGGAAGATATTTCCTTTTTCAGCATAGGCCCCAAGGAGCTCAAAATGTCCACTGCCAGATAGTACGAGAAGATTGTTTCAAACCTGCTCTGTGAAAGGGAATGTTCAACTCTGTGACTTGAATGTAAACATCCCTAAGATGTTTCTTAGAATGCTTCTGGCTAGATTTTATTTGAAGATATTCCCGTTTCCAACGAAATCCTCAAAGCTTTCCAAATATCCACTTCCAGATTCTATAAAAAGAATGTTTCAGAACAGTTCTGTCAAAAGAAAGGTTCAACTCTGTTAGTGGAGAACACACATCACAATCAAGGTTCTGAGAATGCTTCTGTCTAGATTTTCTTTGAAGACATTCCCGTTTCCAACGAAATCCTCACAGCTATCCAAATATCCACTTGCAGATTCTACAAAAAGTGTGGTTCAAAACTGCTGTATCAAAAGAATGGATCAACACTGTTAGTTGAGTACCCACATCACAAACGTGATTCTCAGAATGCTTCTGTCTAGTTTCTATAGGTAGATATTTCCTTTTTCAGCATAGGCCTGAAAGCGCTCCAAATGCCCGCTTCCAGACACTATAAAAAGAGGGTTTCAAACCTACTCTATGAAAGGGAATGTTCAACTCTGAGAGCTGGATGCAAACATCACAAAGAAGTTTCTGAGAATGCTGCTGTCTACTTTTTATATATAATCCCGTTTCCAACGAAATCCTCAAATCTCTCCAAATATCCACTTGCAGATTCCAAAAGAAGAGTGTCTCAAAACTGCCCTATCAATAGAAATGTTCAGCACAGTTAGTTGAGTAGATACAGCATAAACATGTTTCTGAGATTACTTCTATCTCGCATTCATGGGAAGATATTTCCTTTTTCCAGATAGGCTACAAAGCCCTCCAAATGTCCACTTCGAGATACTACAAATAGAGTGCTGCACAACTGCTCTATGTGAGGGGAAGTTCAATTCTGTGACTTGAATGCAGACACCACAAAGAAGTTTCTGAGAATGCTGCTGTCTAATTTTTACATGTAAGCCCGTTTCCAACGAAATCCTCAAAGCTATCCAAATATCCGAATGCAGAATCTTCAAAAAGAGTGTTCCAGAAGTACTGCATGAAACGAAAGGTTCAAGTCCGTTTGTTGAGGACACACATCACAAATAAGTTTCTCAGAATGCTTCTGTCTTGTTTTCATTGGAAGATATTTCCTTTTTCACCATAGTTCAGAAAGCGCTCCAAATGTCCACTTCCAGATACTCCAAAAAGAGTGTTTCAAACCTGCTCTATGAATGGGAATGTTCCACTCTGTGACTTGAATGGAAATATGGCAAAGTATTTTCTGAGTATGCTGCTGTGTACGTTTTATATTGCATCCCGTTTCCAACGAAATCCTCAAAGCGATCCAAATATCCACTTGCAGATTCCAAAAAAAGAGTGTTTCAAACTGCTCTGTCAGTACAAAGGTTCAACACTGTTAGTTGATTAGATGCATCATAAACAAGTTCCTGAGATAGCTTCTATGTCGTTTTTATGGGAAGATATTTCCTTTTTCACCATAGGCCTGAAAGCGCTCCAAATGTCCACTTCCAGATACTACAATAAGAGTGTTTCCAACCTGCTCTATGAAACGGAAGGTTCAACTCTGTGACTTGATTGCAAACATCACGAAGGTGTTTCTGAGAATGCTTCTGTCTAGATTTTCTTTGAAGACATCCCCGTTTCCAACGAAATCCTCACAGCTATCCAAATATCCTCTTGCAGATTCTACAAAAAGTGTGGTTCAAAACTGCTGTATCAAAAGAATGGATCAACACTGTTAGTTGAGGTACCCACATCACAAACGTGATTCTCAGAATGCTTCTGTCTAGTTTCTGTAGGTAGATATTTCCTATTTTAAGCATAGGCCTGAAAGCGCTCCAAATGCCCGCTTCCAGACACTATAAAAAGAGGGTTTCAAACCTACTCTATGAAAGGGAATGTTCAACTCTGAGAGCTGGATGCAAACATCACAAAGAAGTTTCTGAGAATGCTGCTGTCTACTTTTTATATATAATCCCGTTTCCAACGAAATCCTCAAATCTATCCAAATATCCACTTGCAGATTCCAAAAGAAGAGTGTCTCAAAACTGCTCTATCAATAGAAATGTTCAGCACAGTTAGTTGAGTAGGTACAGCATAAACATGTTTCTGAGATTACTTCTATCTCGCATTCATGGGAAGATATTTCCTTTTTCCACATAGGCTACAAAGCCCTCCAAATGTCCACTTCCAGATACTACAAATAGAGTGCTGCACAACTGCTCTATGTGAGGGGATGTTCAATTCTGTGACTTGAATGCAGACACCACAAAGAAGTTTCTGAGAATGCTGCTGTCTAATTTTTACATGTAAGCCCGTTTCCAACGAAATCCTCAAAGCTATCCAAATATCCGCATGCAGAATCTTCAAAAAGAGTGTTCCAGAAGTACTGCATGAAACGAAAGGTTCAAGTCCGTTTGTTGAGGACACACATCACAAATAAGTTTCTCAGAATGCTTCTGTCTTGTTTTCATTGGAAGATATTTCCTTTTTCACCATAGTTCAGAAAGCGCTCCAAATGTCCACTTCCAGATACTCCAAAAAGAGTGTTTCCAACCTGCTCTATGAATGGGAATGTTCCACTCTCTGACTTGAATGGAAATATGGCAAAGTATTTTCTGAGTATGCTGCTGTGTACGTTTTATATTGCATCCCGTTTCCAACGAAATCCTCAAAGCGATCCAAATATCCACTTGCAGATTCCAAAAAAAGAGTGTTTCAAACTGCTCTGTCAGTACAAAGGTTCAACACTGTTAGTTGATTAGATGCATCATAAACAAGTTCCTGAGATAGCTTCTATATCGTTTTTATGGGATGATATTTCCTTTTTCACCATAGGCCTGAAAGCGCTCCAAATGTCCACTTCCAGATACTACAATAAGAGTGTTTCCAACCTGTTCTATGAAACGGAAGGTTCAACTCTGTGACTTGATTGCAAACATCACGAAGATGTTTCTGAGAATGCTTCTGTCTAGATTTTCTTTGAAGACATTCCCGTTTCCAACGAAATCCTCACAGCTATCCAAATATCCTCTTGCAGATTCTACAAAAAGTGTGGTTCAAAACTGCTGTATCAAAAGAATGGATCAACACTGTTAGTTGAGTACCCACATCACAAACGTGATTCTCAGAATGCTTCTGTCTAGTTTCTATAGGTAGATATTTCCTATTTTAAGCATAGGCCTGAAAGCGCTCAAAATGCCCGCTTCCAGACACTATAAAAAGAGGGTTTCAAACCTACTCTATGAAAGGGAGTGTTCAACTCTGAGAGCTAAATGCAAACATCACAAAGAAGTTTCTGAGAATGCTGCTGTCTACTTTTTATATATAATCCCGTTTCCAACGAAATCCTCAAATCTATCCAAATATCCACTTGCAGATTCCAAAAGAAGAGTGTCTCAAAACTGCTCTATCAATAGAAATGTTCAGCACAGTTAGTTGAGTAGATACAGCATAAACATGTTTCTGAGATTACTTCTATCTCGCATTCATGGGAAGATATTTCCTTTTTCCAGATAGGCTACAAAGCCCTCCAAATGTCCACTTCCAGATACTACAAATAGAGTGCTGCACAACTGCTCTATGTGAGGGGAAGTTCAATTCTGTGACTTGAATGCAGACACCACAAAGAAGTTTCTGAGAATGCTGCTGTCTAATTTTTACATGTAAGCCCGTTTCCAACGAAATCCTCAAAGCTATCCAAATATCCGCATGCAGAATCTTCAAAAAGAGTGTTCCAGAAGTACTGCATGAAACGAAAGGTTCAAGTCCGTTTGTTGAGGACACACATCACAAATAAGTTTCTCAGAATGCTTCTGTCTTGTTTTCATTGGAAGATATTTCCTTTTTCACCATAGTTCAGAAAGCGCTCCAAATGTCCACTTCCAGATACTCCAAAAAGAGTGTTTCCAACCTGCTCTATGAATGGGAATGTTCCACTCTGTGACTTGAATGGAAATATGGCAAAGTATTTTCTGAGTATGCTGCTGTGTACGTTTTTTATTGCATCCCGTTTCCAACGAAATCCTCAAAGCGATCCAAATATCCACTTGCAGATTCCAAAAAAAGAGTGTTTCAAACTGCTCTGTCAGTACAAAGGTTCAACACTGTTAGTTGATTAGATGCATCATAAACAAGTTCCTGAGATAGCTTCTATGTCGTTTTTATGGGAAGATATTTCCTTTTTCACCATAGGCCTGAAAGCGCTCCAAATGTCCACTTCCAGATACTACAATAAGAGTGTTTCCAACCTGCTCTATGAAACGGAAGGTTCAACTCTGTGACTTGATTGCAAACATCACGAAGGTGTTTCTGAGAATGCTTCTGTCTAGATTTTCTTTGAAGACATTCCCGTTTCCAACGAAATCCTCACAGCTATCCAAATATCCTCTTGCAGATTCTACAAAAAGTGTGGTTCAAAACTGCTGTATCAAAAGAATGGATCAACACTGTTAGTTGAGTACCCACATCACAAACGTGATTCTCAGAATGCTTCTGTCTAGTTTCTGTAGGTAGATATTTCCTATTTTAAGCATAGGCCTGAAAGCGCTCCAAATGCCCGCTTCCAGACACTATAAAAAGAGGGTTTCAAACCTACTCTATGAAAGGGAATGTTCAACTCTGAGAGCTGGATGCAAACATCACAAAGAAGTTTCTGAGAATGCTGCTGTCTACTTTTTATATATAATCCCGTTTCCAACGAAATCCTCAAATCTATCCAAATATCCACTTGCAGATTCCAAAAGAAGAGTGTCTCAAAACTGCTCTATCAATAGAAATGTTCAGCACAGTTAGTTGAGTAGATACAGCATAAACATGTTTCTGAGATTACTTCTATCTCGCATTCATGGGAAGATATTTCCTTTTTCCACATAGGCTACAAAGCCCTCCAAATGTCCACTTCCAGATACTACAAAAAGAGTGTTTCCAACCTGCTCTATGAAACGGAAGGTTCAACTCTGTGACTTGATTGCAAACATCACGAAGGTGTTTCTGAGAATGCTTCTGTCTAGATTTTCTTTGAAGACATTCCCGTTTCCAACGAAATCCTCAAAGCTAGCCAAATATCCACCTGCAGATTCTACAAAAAGAGTGTTTCAAATGTGCTCTGTCCAAACCAAGGTTCAATTCTGACAGTTGAGTGCACACATCACAAACGTGATTCTGCGAATGCTTCTGTCTAGTTTTTGTCGGAAGATATTTCCTTTTTCAGCATAGGCCCCAAGGAGCTCAAAATGTCCACTTCCAGATACTACGAGAAGATTGTTTCAAACCTGCTCTGTGAAAGGGAATGTTCAACTCTGTGACTTGAATGTAAACATCCCTAAGATGTTTCTTAGAATGCTTCTGGCTAGATTTGATTTGAAGATATTCCCGTTTCCAACGAAATCCTCAAAGCTTTCCAAATATCCACTTCCAGATTCTATAAAAAGAATGTTTCAGAACAGTTCTGTCAAAAGAAAGGTTCAACTCTGTTAGTGGAGAACACACATCACAATCAAGGTTCTGAGAATGCTTCTGTCTAGATTTTCTTTGAAGACATTCCCGTTTCCAACGAAATCCTCACAGCTATCCAAATATCCTCTTGCAGATTCTACAGAAAGTGTGGTTCAAAACTGCTGTATCAAAAGAATGGATCAACACTGTTAGTTGAGTACCCACATCACAAACGTGATTCTCAGAATGCTTCTGTCTAGTTTCTGTAGGTAGATATTTCCTATTTTAAGCATAGGCCTGAAAGCGCTCCAAATGCCCGCTTCCAGACACTATAAAAAGAGGGTTTCAAACCTACTCTATGAAAGGGAATGTTCAACTCTGAGAGCTGGATGCAAACATCACAAAGAAGTTTCTGAGAATGCTGCTGTCTACTTTTTATATATAATCCCGTTTCCAACGAAATCCTCAAATCTATCCAAATATCCACTTGCAGATTCCAAAAGAAGAGTGTCTGAAAACTGCTCTATCAATAGAAATGTTCAGCACAGTTAGTTGAGTAGATACAGCATAAACATGTTTCTGAGATTACTTCTATCTCGCATTCATGGGAAGATATTTCCTTTTTCCAGATAGGCTACAAAGCCCTCCAAATGTCCACTTCCAGATACTACAAATAGAGTGCTGCACAACTGCTCTATGTGAGGGGATGTTCAATTCTGTGACTTGAATGCAGACACCACAAAGAAGTTTCTGAGAATGCTGCTGTCTAATTTTTACATGTAAGCCCGTTTCCAACGAAATCCTCAAAGCTATCCAAATATCCGCATGCAGAATCTTCAAAAAGAGTGTTCCAGAAGTACTGCATGAAACGAAAGGTTCAAGTCCGTTTGTTGAGGACACACATCACAAATAAGTTTCTCAGAATGCTTCTGTCTTGTTTTCATTGGAAGATATTTCCTTTTTCACCATAGTTCAGAAAGCGCTCCAAATGTCCACTTCCAGATACTCCAAAAAGAGTGTTTCCAACCTGCTCTATGAATGGGAATGTTCCACTCTGTGACTTGAATGGAAATATGGCAAAGTATTTTGCTGAGTATGCTGCTGTGTACGTTTTATATTGCATCCCGTTTCCAACGAAATCCTCATAGCGATCCAAATATCCACTTGCAGATTCCAAAAAAAGAGTGTTTCAAACTGCTCTGTCAGTGCAAAGGTTCAACACTGTTAGTTGATTAGATGCATCATAAACAAGTTCCTGAGATAGCTTCTATGTCGTTTTTATGGGAAGATATTTCCTTTTTCACCATAGGCCTGAAAGCGCTCCAAATGTCCACTTCCAGATACTACAATAAGAGTGTTTCCAACCTGCTCTATGAAACGGAAGGTTCAACTCTGTGACTTGATTGCAAACATCACGAAGGTGTTTCTGAGAATGCTTCTGTCTAGATTTTCTTTGAAGACATTCCCGTTTCCAACGAAATCCTCACAGCTATCCAAATATCCTCTTGCAGATTCTACAAAAAGTGTGGTTCAAAACTGCTGTATCAAAAGAATGGATCAACACTGTTAGTTGAGTACCCACATCACAAACGTGATTCTCAGAATGCTTCTGTCTAGTTTCTGTAGGTAGATATTTCCTATTTTAAGCATAGACCTGAAAGCGCTCCAAATGCCCGCTTCCAGACACTATAAAAAGAGGGTTTCAAACCTACTCTATGAAAGGGAATGTTCAACTCTGAGAGCTGGATGCAAATATCACAAAGAAGTTTCTGAGAATGCTGCTGTCAACTTTTTATATATAATCCCGTTTCCAACGAAATCCTCAAATCTATCCAAATATCCACTTGCAGATTCCAAAAGAAGAGTGTCTCAAAACTGCTCTATCAATAGAAATGTTCAGCACAGTTAGTTGAGTAGATACAGCATAAACATGTTTCTGAGATTACTTCTATCTCGCATTCATGGGAAGATATTTCCTTTTTCCAGATAGGCTACAAAGCCCTCCAAATGTCCACTTCCAGATACTACAAAAAGAGTGTTTCCAACCTGCTCTATGAAACGGAAGGTTCAACTCTGTGACTTGATTGCAAACATCACGAAGGTGTTTCTGAGAATGCTTCTGTCTAGATTTTCTTTGAAGACATTCCCGTTTCCAACGAAATCCTCACAGCTATCCAAATATCCTCTTGCAGATTCTACAAAAAGTGTGGTTCAAAACTGCTGTATCAAAAGAATGGATCAACACTGTTAGTTGAGTACCCACATCACAAACGTGATTCTCAGAATGCTTCTGTCTAGTTTCTGTAGGTAGATATTTCCTATTTTAAGCATAGGCCTGAAAGCGCTCCAAATGCCCGCTTCCAGACACTATAAAAAGAGGGTTTCAAACCTACTCTATGAAAGGGAATGTTCAACTCTGAGAGCTGGATGCAAACATCACAAAGAAGTTTCTGAGAATGCTGCTGTCTACTTTTGATATATAATCCCGTTTCCAACGAAATCCTCAAATCTATCCAAATATCCACTTGCAGATTCCAAAAGAAGAGTGTCTCAAAACTGCTCTATCAATAGAAATGTTCAGCACAGTTAGTTGAGTAGATACAGCATAAACATGTTTCTGAGATTACTTCTATCTCGCATTCATGGGAAGATATTTCCTTTTTCCAGATAGGCTACAAAGCCCTCCAAATGTCCACTTCGAGATACTACAAATAGAGTGCTGCACAACTGCTCTATGTGAGGGGATGTTCAATTCTGTGACTTGAAAGCAGACACCACAAAGAAGTTTCTGAGAATGCTGCTGTCTAATTTTTATATGTAAGCCCGTTTCCAACGAAATCCTCAAAGCTAACCAAATATCCGCATGCAGAATCTTCAAAAAGAGTGTTCCAGAAGTACTGCATGAAACGAAAGGTTCGAGTCCGTTAGTTGAGGACACGCATCACAAATAAGTTTCTCAGAATGCTTCTGTCTTGTTTTCATTGGAACATATTTCCCTTTTCACCATAGTTCAGAAAGCGCTCCAAATGTCCACTTCCAGATACTCCAAAAAGAGTGTTTCCAACCTGCTCTATGAATGGGAATGTTCCACTCTGTGACTTGAATGGAAATATGGCAAAGTATTTTCTGAGTATGCTGCTGTGTACGTTTTATATTGCATCCCGTTTCCAACGAAATCCTCAAAGCGATCCAAATATCCACTTGCAGATTCCAAAAAAAGAGTGTTTCAAACTGCTCTGTCAGTACAAAGGTTCAACACTGTTAGTTGATTAGATGCATCATAAACAAGTTCCTGAGATAGCTTCTATCTCGCATTCATGGGAAGATATTTCCTTTTTCCAGATAGGCTACAAAGCCCTCCAAATGTCCACTTCCAGATACTACAAAAAGTGTGTTTCCAACCTGCTCTATGAAACGGAAGGTTCAACTCTGTGACTTGATTGCAAACATCACGAAGGTGTTTCTGAGAATGCTTCTGTCTAGATTTTCTTTGAAGACATTACCGTTTCCAACGAAATCCTCAAAGCTAGCCAAATATCCACCTGCAGATTCTACAAAAAGAGTGTTTCAAAAGTGCTCTGTCCAAACCAAGGTTCAATTCTGACAGTTGAGTGCACACATCACAAACGTGATTCTGCGAATGCTTCTGTCTAGTTTTTGTCGGAAGATATTTCCTTTTTCAGCATAGGCCCCAAGGAGCTCAAAATGTCCACTGCCAGATAGTACGAGAAGATTGTTTCAAACCTGCTCTGTGAAAGGGAATGTTCAACTCTGTGACTTGAATGTAAACATCCCTAAGATATTTCTTAGAATGCTTCTGGCTAGATTTTATTTGAAGATATTCCCGTTTCCAACGAAATCCTCAAAGCTTTCCAAATATCCACTTCCAGATTCTATAAAAAGAATGTTTCAGAACAGTTCTGTCAAAAGAAAGGTTCAACTCTGTTAGTGGAGAACACACATCACAATCAAGGTTCTGAGAATGCTTCTGTCTAAATTTTCTATGAAGACATTCCCGTTTCCAACGAAATCCTCACAGCTATCCAAATATCCACTTGCAGATTCTACAAAAAGTGTGGTTCAAAACTGCTGTATCAAAAGAATGGATCAACACTGTTAGTTGAGGTACCCACATCACAAACGTGATTCTCAGAATGCTTCTGTCTAGTTTCTGTAGGTAGATATTTCCTTTTTCAGCATAGGCCTGAAAGCGCTCCAAATGCCCGCTTCCAGACACTATAAAAAGGGGGTTTCAAACCTACGCTATGAAAGGGAATGTTCAACTCTGAGAGCTGGATGCAAACATCACAAAGAAGTTTCTGAGAATGCTGCTGTCTTCTTTTTATATATAATACCGTTTCCAACGAAATCCTCAAATCTATCCAAATATCCACTTGCAGATTCCAAAAGAAGAGTGTCTCAAAACTGCTCTATCAATAGAAATGTTCAGCACAGTTAGTTGAGTAGATACAGCATAAACATGTTTCTGAGATTACTTCTATCTCGCATTCATGGGAAGATATTTCCTTTTTCCAGATAGGGCTACAAAGCCCTCCAAATGTCCACTTCCAGATACTACAAAAAGTGTGTTTCCAACCTGCTCTATGAAACGGAAGGTTCAACTCTGTGACTTGATTGCAAACATCACGAAGGTGTTTCTGAGAATGCTTCTGTCTAGATTTTCTTTGAAGACATTACCGTTTCCAACGAAATCCTCAAAGCTAGCCAAATATCCACCTGCAGATTCTACAAAAAGAGTGTTTCAAAAGTGCTCTGTCCAAACCAAGGTTCAATTCTGACAGTTGAGTGCACACATCACAAACGTGATTCTGCGAATGCTTCTGTCTAGTTTTTGTCGGAAGATATTTCCTTTTTCAGCATAGGCCCCAAGGAGCTCAAAATGTCCACTGCCAGATAGTACGAGAAGATTGTTTCAAACCTGCTCTGTGAAAGGGAATGTTCAACTCTGTGACTTGAATGTAAACATCCCTAAGATGTTTCTTGGAATGCTTCTGGCTAGATTTTATTTGAAGATATTCCCGTTTCCAACGAAATCCTCAAAGCTTTCCAAATATCCACTTCCAGATTCTATAAAAAGAATGTTTCAGAACAGTTCTGTCAAAAGAAAGGTTCAACTCTGTTAGTGGAGAACACACATCACAATCAAGGTTCTGAGAATGCTTCTGTCTAGCATTTTCTTTGAAGACATTCCCGTTTCCAACGAAATCCTCACAGCTATCCAAATATCCTCTTGCAGATTCTACAAAAAGTGTGGTTCAAAACTGCTGTATCAAAAGAATGGATCAACACTGTTAGTTGAGTACCCACATCACAAACGAGATTCTCAGAATGCTTCTGTCTAGTTTCTGTAGGTAGATATTTCCTATTTTAAGCATAGGCCTGAAAGCGCTCCAAATGCCCGCTTCCAGACACTATAAAAAGAGGGTTTCAAACCTACTCTATGAAAGGGAATGTTCAACTCTGAGAGCTGGATGCAAACATCACAAAGAAGTTTCTGAGAATGCTGCTGTCTACTTTTTATATATAATCGCGTTTCCAACGAAATCCTCAAATCTATCCAAATATCCACTTGCAGATTCCAAAAGAAGAGTGTCTCAAAACTGCTCTATCAATAGAAATGTTCAGCACAGTTAGTTGAGTAGATACAGCATAAACATGTTTCTGAGATTACTTCTATCTCGCATTCATGGGAAGATATTTCCTTTTTCCAGATAGGCTACAAAGCCCTCCAAATGTCCACTTCCAGATACTACAAAAAGAGTGTTTCCAACCTGCTCTATGAAACGGAAGGTTCAACTCTGTGACTTGATTGCAAACATCACGAAGTTGTTTCTGAGAATGCTTCTGTCTAGATTTTCTTTGAAGACATTACTTTTTCCAACGAAATCCTCAAAGCTAGCCAAATATC
This sequence comes from Homo sapiens, assembly GCF_000001405.40. Classification (NCBI taxonomy): domain Eukaryota; kingdom Metazoa; phylum Chordata; class Mammalia; order Primates; family Hominidae; genus Homo; species Homo sapiens. Next base: position 45,308,132 of record NC_000008.11, on the reverse strand, counting down.
CACCTGCAGATTCTACAAAAAGAGTGTTTCAAAAGTGCTCTGTCCAAACCAAGGTTCAATTCTGACAGTTGAGTGCACACATCACAAACGTGATTCTGCGAATGCTTCTGTCTAGTTTTTGTCGGAAGATATTTCCTTTTTCAGCATAGGCCCCAAGGAGCTCAAAATGTCCACTGCCAGATAGTACGAGAAGATTGTTTCAAACCTGCTCTGTGAAAGGGAATGTTCAACTCTGTGACTTGAATGTAAACATCCCTAAGATGTTTCTTAGAATGCTTCTGGCTAGATTTTATTTGAAGATATTCCCGTTTCCAACGAAATCCTCAAAGCTTTCCAAATATCCACTTCCAGATTCTATAAAAAGAATGTTTCAAAACAGTTCTGTCCAAAGAAAGGTTCAACTCTGTTAGTGGAGAACTCACATCACAATCCAGGTTCTGAGAATGCTTCTGTCTAAATTTTCTATGAAGACATTCCCGTTTCCAACGAAATCCTCACAGCTATCCAAATATCCACTTGCAGATTCTACAAAAAGGGTGGTTCAAAACTGCTGTATCAAAAGAATGGATCAACACTGTTAGTTGAGTACCCACATCACAAACGTGATTCTCAGAATGCTTCTGTCTAGTTTCTGTAGGTAGATATTTCCTTTTTCAGCATAGGCCTGAAAGCGCTCCAAATGCCCGCTTCCAGACACTATAAAAAGGGGGTTTCAAACCTACTCTATGAAAGGGAATGTTCAACTCTGAGAGCTGGATGCAAACATCACAAAGAAGTTTCTGAGAATGCTGCTGTCTACTTTTGATATATAATCCCGTTTCCAACGAAATCCTCAAATCTAGCCAAATATCCACTTGCAGATTCCAAAAGAAGAGTGTCTCAAAACTGCTCTATCAATAGAAATGTTCAGCACAGTTAGTTGAGTAGATACAGCATAAACCTGTTTCTGAGATTACTTCTATCTCGCATTCATGGGAAGATATTTCCTTTTTCCAGATAGGCTACAAAGCCCTCCAAATGTCCACTTCCAGATACTACAAATAGAGTGCTGCACAACTGCTCTATGTGAGGGGATGTTCAATTCTGTGACTTGAATGCAGACACCACAAAGAAGTTTCTGAGAATGCTGCTGTCTAATTTTTACATGTAAGCCCGTTTCCAACGAAATCCTCAAAGCTATCCAAATATCTGCATGCAGAATCTTCAAAAAGAGTGTTCCAGAAGTACTGCATGAAACGAAAGGTTCAAGTCCGTTTGTTGAGGACACACATCACAAATAAGTTTCTCAGAATGCTTCTGTCTTGTTTTCATTGGAAGATATTTCCTTTTTCACCATAGTTCAGAAAGCGCTCCAAATGTCCACTTCCAGATACTCCAAAAAGAGTGTTTCAAACCTGCTCCATGAATGGGAATGTTCCACTCTGTGACTTGAATGGAAATATGGCAAAGTATTTTCTGAGTATGCTGCTGTGTACGTTTTATATTGCATCCCGTTTCCAACGAAATCCTCAAAGCGATCCAAATATCCACTTGCAGATTCCAAAAAAAGAGTGTTTCAAACTGCTCTGTCAGTACAAAGGTTCAACACTGTTAGTTGATTAGATGCATCACAAACAAGTTCCTGAGATAGCTTCTATGTCGTTTTTATGGGAAGATATTTCCTTTTTCACCATAGGCCTGAAAGCGCTCCAAATGTCCACTTCCAGATACTACAATAAGAGTGTTTCCAACCTGCTCTATGAAACGGAAGGTTCAACTCTGTGACTTGATTGCAAACATCACGAAGGTGTTTCTGAGAATGCTTCTGTCTAGATTTTCTTTGAAGACATTCCCGTTTCCAACGAAATCCTCACAGCTATCCAAATATCCTCTTGCAGATTCTACAAAAAGTGTGGTTCAAAACTGCTGTATCAAAAGAATGGATCAACACTGTTAGTTGAGTACCCACATCACAAACGTGATTCTCAGAATGCTTCTGTCTAGTTTCTGTAGGTAGATATTTCCTATTTTAAGCATAGGCCTGAATGCGCTCCAAATGCCCGCTTCCAGACACTATAAAAAGAGGGTTTCAAACCTACTCTATGAAAGGGAATGTTCAACTCTGAGAGCTGGATGCAAACATCACAAAGAAGTTTCTGAGAATGCTGCTGTCTACTTTTTATATATAATCCCGTTTCCAACGAAATCCTCAAATCTATCCAAATATCCACTTGCAGATTCCAAAAGAAGAGTGTCTCAAAACTGCTCTATCAATAGAAATGTTCAGCACAGTTAGTTGAGTAGATACAGCATAAACATGTTTCTGAGATTACTTCTATCTCGCATTCATGGGAAGATATTTCCTTTTTCCAGATAGGCTACAAAGCCCTCCAAATGTCCACTTCCAGATACTACAAATAGAGTGCTGCACAACTGCTCTATGTGAGGGGAAGTTCAATTCTGTGACTTGAATGCAGACACCACAAAGAAGTTTCTGAGAATGCTGCTGTCTAATTTTTACATGTAAGCCCGTTTCCAACGAAATCCTCAAAGCTATCCAAATATCCGCATGCAGAATCTTCAAAAAGAGTGTTCCAGAAGTACTGCATGAAACGAAAGGTTCAAGTCCGTTTGTTGAGGACACACATCACAAATAAGTTTCTCAGAATGCTTCTGTCTTGTTTTCATTGGAAGATATTTCCTTTTTCACCATAGTTCAGAAAGCGCTCCAAATGTCCACTTCCAGATACTCCAAAAAGAGTGTTTCCAACCTGCTCTATGAATGGGAATGTTCCACTCTGTGACTTGAATGGAAATATGGCAAAGTATTTTCTGAGTATGCTGCTGTGTACGTTTTATATTGCATCCCGTTTCCAACGAAATCCTCAAAGCGATCCAAATATCCACTTGCAGATTCCAAAAAAAGAGTGTTTCAAAGTGCTCTGTCAGTACAAAGGTTCAACACTGTTAGTTGATTAGATGCATCATAAACAAGTTCCTGAGATAGCTTCTATGTCGTTTTTATGGGAAGATATTTCCTTTTTCACCATAGGCCTGAAAGCGCTCCAAATGTCCACTTCCAGATACTACAATAAGAGTGTTTCCAACCTGCTCTATGAAACGGAAGGTTCAACTCTGTGACTTGATTGCAAACATCACGAAGGTGTTTCTGAGAATGCTTCTGTCTAGATTTTCTTTGAAGACATTCCCGTTTCCAACGAAATCCTCACAGCTATCCAAATATCCTATTGCAGATTCTACAAAAAGTGTGGTTCAAAACTGCTGTATCAAAAGAAAGGATCAACACTGTTAGTTGAGTACCCACATCACAAACGTGATTCTCAGAATGCTTCTGTCTAGTTTCTGTAGGTAGATATTTCCTATTTTAAGCATAGGCCTGAAAGCGCTCCAAATGCCCGCTTGCAGACACTATAAAAAGAGGGTTTCAAACCTACTCTATGAAAGGGAATGTTCAACTCTGAGAGCTGGATGCAAACATCACAAAGAAGTTTCTGAGAATGCTGCTGTCTACTTTTGATATATAATCCCGTTTCCAACGAAATCCTCAAATCTATCCAAATATCCACTTTCAGATTCCAAAAGAAGAGTGTCTCAAAACTGCTCTATCAATAGAAATGTTCAGCACAGTTAGTTGAGTAGATACAGCATAAACATGTTTCTGAGATTACTTCTATCTCGCATTCATGGGAAGATATTTCCTTTTTCCAGATAGGCTACAAAGCCCTCCAAATGTCCACTTCCAGATACTACAAATAGAGTGCTGCACAACTGCTCTATGTGAGGGGAAGTTCAATTCTGTGACTTGAATGCAGACACCACAAAGAAGTTTCTGAGAATGCTGCTGTCTAATTTTTATATGTAAGCCCGTTTCCAACGAAATCCTCAAAGCTATCCAAATATCCGCATGCAGAATCTTCAAAAAGAGTGTTCCAGAAGTACTGCATGAAACGAAAGGTTCGAGTCCGTTAGTTGAGGACACGCATCACAAATAAGTTTCTCAGAATGCTTCTGTCTTGTTTTCATTGGAAGATATTTCCTTTTTCACCATAGTTCTGAAAGCGCTCCAAATGTCCACTTCCAGACACTCCAAAAAAAGTGTTTCAAACCTGCTCTATGAATGGGAATGTTCCACTCTGTGACTTGAATGGAAATATGGCAAAGTATTTTCTGAGTATGCTGCTGTGTACGTTTTATATTGCATCCCGTTTCCAACGAAATCCTCAAAGCGATCCAAATATCCACTTGCAGATTCCAAAAAAAGAGTGTTTCAAACTGCTCTGTCAGTACAAAGGTTCAACACTGTTAGTTGATTAGATGCATCATAAACAAGTTCCTGAGATAGCTCTATGTCGTTTTTATGGGAAGATATTTCCTTTTTCACCATAGGCCTGAAAGCGCTCCAAATGTCCACTTCCAGATACTACAATAAGAGTGTTTCCAACCTGCTCTATGAAACGGAAGGTTCAACTCTGTGACTTGATTGCAAACATCACGAAGGTGTTTCTGAGAATGCTTTCTGTCTAGATTTTCTTTGAAGACATTCCCGTTTCCAACGAAATCCTCACAGCTATCCAAATATCCTCTTGCAGATTCTACAAAAAGTGTGGTTCAAAACTGCTGTATCAAAAGAATGGATCAACACTGTTAGTTGAGTACCCACATCACAAACGTGATTCTCAGAATGCTTCTGTCTAGTTTCTGTAGGTAGATATTTCCTATTTTAAGCATAGGCCTGAAAGCGCTCCAAATGCCCGCTTCCAGACACTATAAAAAGAGGGTTTCAAACCTACTCTATGAAAGGGAATGTTCAACTCTGAGAGCTGGATGCAAACATCACAAAGAAGTTTCTGAGAATGCTGCTGTCTACTTTTTATATATAATCCCGTTTCCAACGAAATCCTCAAATCTATCCAAATATCCACTTGCAGATTCCAAAAGAAGAGTGTCTCAAAACTGCTCTATCAATAGAAATGTTCAGCACAGTTAGTTGAGTAGATACAGCATAAACATGTTTCTGAGATTACTTCTATCTCGCATTCATGGGAAGATATTTCCTTTTTCCAGATAGGCTACAAAGCCCTCCAAATGTCCACTTCCAGATACTACAAATAGAGTGCTGCACAACTGCTCTATGTGAGGGGAAGTTCAATTCTGTGACTTGAATGCAGACACCACAAAGAAGTTTCTGAGAATGCTGCTGTCTAATTTTTACATGTAAGCCCGTTTCCAACGAGTATCCTCAAAGCTATCCAAATATCCGCATGCAGAATCTTCAAAAAGAGTGTTCCAGAAGTACTGCATGAAACGAAAGGTTCAAGTCCGTTTGTTGAGGACACACATCACAAATAAGTTTCTCAGAATGCTTCTGTCTTGTTTTCATTGGAAGATATTTCCTTTTTCACCATAGTTCAGAAAGCGCTCCAAATGTCCACTTCCAGATACTCCAAAAAGAGTGTTTCCAACCTGCTCTATGAATGGGAATGTTCCACTCTGTGACTTGAATGGAAATATGGCAAAGTATTTTCTGAGTATGCTGCTGTGTACGTTTTATATTGCATCCCGTTTCCAACGAAATCCTCAAAGCGATCCAAATATCCACTTGCAGATTCCAAAAAAAGAGTGTTTCAAACTGCTCTGTCAGTACAAAGGTTCAACACTGTTAGTTGATTAGATGTATCATAAACAAGTTCCTGAGATAGCTTCTATGTCGTTTTTATGGGAAGATATTTCCTTTTTCACCATAGGCCTGAAAGCGCTCCAAATGTCCACTTCCAGATACTACAATAAGAGTGTTTCCAACCTGCTCTATGAAACGGAAGGTTCAACTCTGTGACTTGATTGCAAACATCACGAAGGTGTTTCTGAGAATGCTTCTGTCTAGATTTTCTTTGAAGACATTCCCGTTTCCAACGAAATCCTCACAGCTATCCAAATATCCTCTTGCAGATTCTACAAAAAGTGTGGTTCAAAACTGCTGTATCAAAAGAATGGATCAACACTGTTAGTTGAGTACCCACATCACAAACGTGATTCTCAGAATGCTTCTGTCTAGTTTCTGTAGGTAGATATTTCCTTTTTCAGCATAGGCCTGAAAGCGCTCCAAATGCCCGCTTCCAGACACTATAAAAAGGGGGTTTCAAACCTACTCTATGAAAGGGAATGTTCAACTCTGAGAGCTGGATGCAAACATCACAAAGAAGTTTTGAGAATGCTGCTGTCTACTTTTTATATATAATCCCGTTTCCAACGAAATCCTCAAATCTCTCCAAATATCCACTTGCAGATTCCAAAAGAAGAGTGTCTCAAAACTGCCCTATCAATAGAAATGTTCAGCACAGTTAGTTGAGTAGATACAGCATAAACATGTTTCTGAGATTACTTCTATCTCGCATTCATGGGAAGATATTTCCTTTTTCCAGATAGGCTACAAAGCCCTCCAAATGTCCACTTCGAGATACTACAAATAGAGTGCTGCACAACTGCTCTATGTGAGGGGAAGTTCAATTCTGTGACTTGAATGCAGACACCACAAAGAAGTTTCTGAGAATGCTGCTGTCTAATTTTAACATGTAAGCCCGTTTCCAACGAAATCCTCAAAGCTATCCAAATATCCGCATGCAGAATCTTCAAAAAGAGTGTTCCAGAAGTACTGCATGAAACGAAAGGTTCAAGTCCGTTTGTTGAGGACACACATCACAAATAAGTTTCTCAGAATGTTTCTGTCTTGTTTTCATTGGAAGATATTTCCTTTTTCACCATAGTTCAGAAAGCGCTCCAAATGTCCACTTCCAGATACTCCAAAAAGTGTGTTTCAAACCTGCTCTATGAATGGGAATGTTCCACTCTGTGACTTGAATGGAAATATGGCAAAGTATTTTCTGAGTATGCTGCTGTGTACGTTTTATATTGCATCCCGTTTCCAACGAAATCCTCAAAGCGATCCAAATATCCACCTGCAGATTCCAAAAAAAGAGTGTTTCAAACTGCTCTGTCAGTACAAAGGTTCAACACTGTTAGTTGATTAGATGCATCATAAACAAGTTCCTGAGATAGCTTCTATGTCGTTTTTATGGGAAGATATTTCCTTTTTCACCATAGGCCTGAAAGCGCTCCAAATGTCCACTTCCAGATACTACAATAAGAGTGTTTCCAACCTGCTCTATGAAACGGAAGGTTCAACTCTGTGACTTGATTGCAAACATCACGAAGGTGTTTCTGAGAATGCTTCTGTCTAGATTTTCTTTGAAGACATTACCGTTTCCAACGAAATCCTCAAAGCTAGCCAAATATCCACCTGCAGATTTTACAAAAAGAGTGTTTCAAGAGTGCAATCTCCAAACCAAGGTTCAATTCTGACAGTTGAGTGCACACATCACAAACGTGTTTCTGCGAATGCTTCTGTCTAGTTTTTGTCGGAAGATATTTCCTTTTTCAGCATAGGCCCCAAGGAGCTCAAAATGTCCACTGCCAGATAGTACGAGAAGATTGTTTCAAACCTGCTCTGTGAAAGGGAATGTTCAACTCTGTGACTTGAATGTAAACATCCCTAAGCTGTTTCTTAGAATGCTTCTGGCTAGATTTGATTTGAAGATATTCCCGTTTCCAACGAAATCCTCAAAGCTTTCCAAATATCCACTTCCAGATTCTATAAAAAGAATGTTTCAGAACAGTTCTGTCAAAAGAAAGGTTCAACTCTGTTAGTGGAGAACACACATCACAATCAAGGTTCTGAGAATGCTTCTGTCTAAATTTTCTATGAAGACATTCCCGTTTCCAACGAAATCCTCACAGCTATCCAAATATCCACTTGCAGATTCTACAAAAAGTGTGGTTCAAAACTGCTGTATCAAAAGAATGGATCAACACTGTTAGTTGAGTACCCACATCACAAACGTGATTCTCAGAATGCTTCTGTCTAGTTTCTGTAGGTAGATATTTCCTATTTTAAGCATAGGCCTGAAAGCGCTCCAAATGCCCGCTTCCAGACACTATAAAAAGAGGGTTTCAAACCTACTCTATGAAAGGGAATGTTCAACTCTGAGAGCTGGATGCAAACATCACAAAGAAGTTTCTGAGAATGCTGCTGTCTACTTTTGATATATAATCCCGTTTCCAACGAAATCCTCAAATCTATCCAAATATCCACTTGCAGATTCCAAAAGAAGAGTGTCTCAAAACTGCTCTATCAATAGAAATGTTCAGCACAGTTAGTTGAGTAGATACAGCATAAACATGTTTCTGAGATTACTTCTATCTCGCATTCATGGGAAGATATTTCCTTTTTCCACATAGGCTACAAAGCCCTCCAAATGTCCACTTCCAGATACTACAAAAAGAGTGTTTCCAACCTGCTCTATGAAACGGAAGGTTCAACTCTGTGACTTGATTGCAAACATCACGAAGGTGTTTCTGAGAATGCTTCTGTCTAGATTTTCTTTGAAGACATTACCGTTTCCAACGAAATCCTCAAAGCTAGCCAAATATCCACCTGCAGATTCTACAAAAAGAGTGTTTCAAAAGTGCTCTGTCCAAACCAAGGTTCAATTCTGACAGTTGAGTGCACACATCACAAACGTGATTCTGCGAATGCTTCTGTCTAGTTTTTGTCGGAAGATATTTCCTTTTTCAGCATAGGCCCCAAGGAGCTCAAAATGTCCACTGCCAGATAGTACGAGAAGATTGTTTCAAACCTGCTCTGTGAAAGGGAATGTTCAACTCTGTGACTTGAATGTAAACATCCCTAAGATGTTTCTTAGAATGCTTCTGGCTAGATTTGATTTGAAGATATTCCCGTTTCCAACGAAATCCTCAAAGCTTTCCAAATATCCACTTCCAGATTCTATAAAAAGAATGTTTCAGAACAGTTCTGTCAAAAGAAAGGTTCAACTCTGTTAGTGGAGAACACACATCACAATCAAGGTTCTGAGAATGCTTCTGTCTAAATTTTCTATGAAGACATTCCCGTTTCCAACGAAATCCTCACAGCTATCCAAATATCCACTTGCAGATTCTACAAAAAGTGTGGTTCAAAACTGCTGTATCAAAAGAATGGATCAACACTGTTAGTTGAGTACCCACATCACAAACGTGATTCTCAGAATGCTTCTGTCTAGTTTCTATAGGTAGATATTTCCTTTTTCAGCATAGGCCTGAAAGCGCTCCAAATGCCCGCTTCCAGACACTATAAAAAGAGGGTTTCAAACCTACTCTATGAAAGGGAATGTTCAACTCTGAGAGCTGGATGCAAACATCACAAAGAAGTTTCTGAGAATGCTGCTGTCTACTTTTTATATATAATCCCGTTTCCAACGAAATCCTCAAATCTATCCAAATATCCACTTGCAGATTCCAAAAGAAGAGTGTCTCAAAACTGCTCTATCAATAGAAATGTTCAGCACAGTTAGTTGAGTAGATACAGCATAAACATGTTTCTGAGATTACTTCTATCTCGCATTCATGGGAAGATATTTCCTTTTTCCAGATAGGCTACAAAGCCCTCCAAATGTCCACTTCGAGATACTACAAATAGAGTGCTGCACAACTGCTCTATGTGAGGGGATGTTCAATTCTGTGACTTGAATGCAGACACCACAAAGAAGTTTCAGAGAATGCTGCTGTCTAATTTTTACATGTAAGCCCGTTTCCAACGAAATCCTCAAAGCTATCCAAATATCCGCATGCAGAATCTTCAAAAAGAGTGTTCCAGAAGTACTGCATGAAACGAAAGATTCAAGACCGTTTGTTGAGGACACACATCACAAATAAGTTTCTCAGAATGCTTCTGTGTTGTTTTCATTGGAAGATATTTCCTTTTTCACCATAGTTCAGAAAGCGCTCCAAATGTCCACTTCCAGATACTCCAAAAAGAGTGTTTCAAACCTGCTCTATGAATGGGAATGTTCCACTCTGTGACTTGAATGGAAATATGGCAAAGTATTTTCTGAGTATGCTGCTGTGTACGTTTTATATTGCATCCCGTTTCCAACGAAATCCTCAAAGCGATCCAAATATCCACTTGCAGATTCCAAAAAAAGAGTGTTTCAAACTGCTCTGTCAGTACAAAGGTTCAACACTGTTAGTTGATTAGATGCATCATAAACAAGTTCCTGAGATAGCTTCTATGTCGCTTTTATGGGAACATATATCCTTTTACACCATAGGCCTGAAAGCGCTCCAAATGTCCACTTGCAGATACCACAAAATGAGTGTTTCCAACCTGCTCTATGAAACGGAAGGTTCAACTCTGTGACTTGATTGCAAACATCACGAAGGTGTTTCTGAGGATGTTTCTGTCTAGATTTTCTTTGAAGACATTCCCGTTTCCAACGAAATCCTCACAGCTATCCAAATATCCTCTTGCAGATTCTACAAAAAGTGTGGTTCAAAACTGCTGTATCAAAAGAATGGATCAACACTGTTAGTTGAGTACCCACATCACAAACGTGATTCTCAGAATGCTTCTGTCTAGTTTCTGTAGGTAGATATTTCCTATTTTAAGCATAGGCCTGAAAGCGCTCCAAATGCCCGCTTCCAGACACTATAAAAAGAGGGTTTCAAACCTACTCTATGAAAGGGAATGTTCAACTCTGAGAGCTGGATGCAAACATCACAAAGAAGTTTCTGAGAATGCTGCTGTCTACTTTTTATATATAATCCCGTTTCCAATGAAATCCTCAAATCTATCCAAATATCCACTTGCAGATTCCAAAAGAAGAGGGTCTCAAAACTGCTCTATCAATAGAAATGTTCAGCACAGTTAGTTGAGTAGATACAGCATAAACATGTTTCTCAGATTACTTCTATCTCGCATTCATGGGAAGATATTTCCTTTTTCCAGATAGGCTACAAAGCCCTCCAAATGTCCACTTCCAGATACTACAAATAGAGTGCTGCACAACTGCTCTATGTGAGGGGAAGTTCAATTCTGTGACTTGAATGCAGACACCACAAAGAAGTTTCTGAGAATGCTGCTGTCTAATTTTTACATGTAAGCCCGTTTCCAACGAAATCCTCAAAGCTATCCAAATATCCGCATGCAGAATCTTCAAAAAGAGTGTTCCAGAAATACTGCATGAAACAAAAGGTTCAAGTCCGTTTGTTGAGGACACACATCACAAATAAGTTTCTCAGAATGCTTCTGTCTTGTTTTCATTGGAAGATATTTCCTTTTTCACCATAGTTCAGAAAGCGCTCCAAATGTCCACTTCCAGATACTCCAAAAAGAGTGTTTCCAACCTGCTCTATGAATGGGAATGTTCCACTCTGTGACTTGAATGGAAATATGGCAAAGTATTTTCTGAGTATGCTGCTGTGTACGTTTTATATTGCATCCCGTTTCCAACGAAATCCTCAAAGCGATCCAAATATCCACTTGCAGATTCCAAAAAAAGAGTGTTTCAAACTGCTCTGTCAGTACAAAGGTTCAACACTGTTAGTTGATTAGAGGCATCATAAACAAGTTCCTGAGATAGCTTCTATGTCGCTTTTATGGGAAGATATTTCCTTTTACACCATAGGCCTGAAAGCGCTCCAAATGTCCACTTCCAGATACTACAAAATGAGTGTTTCCAACCTGCTCTATGAAACGGAAGGTTCAACTCTGTGACTTGATTGCAAACATCACGAAGGTGTTTCTGAGGATGTTTCTGTCTAGATTTTCTTTGAAGACATTACCGTTTCCAACGAAATCCTCAAAGCTAGCCAAATGTCCACCTGCAGATTCTACAAAAAGAGTGTTTCAAAAGTGCTCTGTCCAAACAAAGTGTTCAATTCTGACCAGTTGAGTGCACACATCACAAACGTGATTCTGCGATATGCTTCTGTCTAGTTTTTGTCGGAAGATATTTCCTTTTTCAGCATAGGCCCCAAGGAGCTCAAAATGTCCACTGCCAGATAGTACGAGAAGATTGTTTCAAACCTGCTCTGAGAAAGGGGAATGTTCAACTCTGTGACTTGAATGTAAACATCCCTAAGATGTTTCTTAGAATGCTTCTGGCTAGATTTTATTTGAAGATATTCCCGTTTCCAACGAAATCCTCAAAGCTTTCCAAATATCCACTTCCAGATTCTATAAAAAGAATGTTTCAAAACAGTTCTGTCCAAAGAAAGGTTCAACCCTGTTAGTTGAGAACACACATCACAATCAAGGTTCTGAGAATGCTTCTGTCTAAATTTTCTATGAAGACATTCCCGTTTCCAACGAAATCCTCACAGCTATCCAAATATCCACTTGCAGATTCTACAAAAAGTGTGGTTCAAAACTGCTGTATCAAAAGAATGGATCAACACTGTTAGTTGAGTACCCACATCACAAACGTGATTCTCAGAATGCTTCTGTCTAGTTTCTGTAGGTAGATATTTCCTATTTTAAGCATAGGCCTGAAAGCGCTCCAAATGTCCGCTTCCAGACACTATAAAAAGAGGGTTTCAAACCTACTCTATGAAAGGGAATGTTCAACTCTGAGAGCTGGATGCAAACATCACAAAGAAGTTTCTGAGAATGCTGCTGTCTACTTTTTATATATAATCCCGTTTCCAATGAAATCCTCAAATCTATCCAAATATCCACTTGCAGATTCCAAAAGAAGAGTGTCTCAAAACTGCTCTATCAATAGAAATGTTCAGCACAGTTAGTTGAGTAGATACAGCATAAACATGTTTCTGAGATTACTTCTATCTCGCATTCATGGGAAGATATTTCCTTTTTCCACATAGGCTACAAAGCCCTCCAAATGTCCACTTCCAGATACTACAAAAAGAGTGTTTCCAACCTGCTCTATGAAACGGAAGGTTCAACTCTGTGACTTGATTGCAAACATCACGAAGGTGTTTCTGAGAATGCTTCTGTCTAGATTTTCTTTGAAGACATTACCGTTTCCAACGAAATCCTCAAAGCTAGCCAAATATCCACCTGCAGATTCTACAAAAAGAGTGTTTGAAAAGTGCTCTGTCCAAACCAAGGTTCAATTCTGACAGTTGAGTGCACACATCACAAACGTGATTCTGCGAATGCTTCTGTCTAGTTTTTGTCGGAAGATATTTCCTTTTTCAGCATAGGCCCCAAGGAGCTCAAAATGTCCACTGCCAGATAGTACGAGAAGATTGTTTCAAACCTGCTCTGTGAAAGGGAATGTTCAACTCTGTGACTTGAATGTAAACATCCCTAAGATGTTTCTTAGAATGCTTCTGGCTAGATTTGATTTGAAGATATTCCCGTTTCCAATGAAATCCTCAAAGCTTTCCAAATATCCACTTCCAGATTCTATAAAAAGAATGTTTCAGAACAGTTCTGTCAAAAGAAAGGTTCAACTCTGTTAGTGGAGAACACACATCACAATCAAGGTTCTGAGAATGCTTCTGTCTAAATTTTCTATGAAGACATTCCCGTTTCCAACGAAATCCTCACAGCTATCCAAATATCCACTTGCAGATTCTACAAAAAGTGTGGTTCAAAACTGCTGTATCAAAAGAATGGATCAACACTGTTAGTTGAGTACCCACATCACAAACGTGATTCTCAGAATGCTACTGTCTAGTTTCTGTAGGTAGATATTTCCTATTTTAAGCATAGGCCTGAAAGCGCTCCAAATGCCCGCTTCCAGACACTATAAAAAGAGGGTTTCAAACCTACTCTATGAAAGGGAATGTTCAACTCTGAGAGCTGGATGCAAACATCACAAAGAAGTTTCTGAGAATGCTGCTGTCTACTTTTTATATATAATCCCGTTTCCAACGAAATCCTCAAATCTATCCAAATATCCACTTGCAGATTCCAAAAGAAGAGTGTCTCAAAACTGCTCTATCAATAGAAATGTTCAGCACAGTTAGTTGAGTAGATACAGCATAAACATGTTTCTGAGATTACTTCTATCTCGCATTCATGGGAAGATATTTCCTTTTTCCAGATAGGCTACAAAGCCCTCCAAATGTCCACTTCCAGATACTACAAATAGAGTGCTGCACAACTGCTCTATGTGAGGGGAAGTTCAATTCTGTGACTTGAATGCAGACACCACAAAGAAGTTTCTGAGAATGCTGCTGTCTAATTTTTACATGTAAGCCCGTTTCCAACGAAATCCTCAAAGCTATCCAAATATCCGCATGCAGAATCTTCAAAAAGAGTGTTCCAGAAGTACTGCATGAAACGAAAGGTTCAAGTCCGTTTGTTGAGGACACACATCACAAATAAGTTTCTCAGAATGCTTCTGTCTTGTTTTCATTGGAAGATATTTCCTTTTTCACCATAGTTCAGAAAGCGCTCCAAATGTCCACTTCCAGATACTCCAAAAAGAGTGTTTCCAACCTGCTCTATGAATGGGAATGTTCCACTCTGTGACTTGAATGGAAATATGGCAAAGTATTTTCTGAGTATGCTGCTGTGCACGTTTTATATTGCATCCCGTTTCCAACGAAATCCACAAAGCGATCCAAATATCCACTTGCAGATTCCAAAAAAAGAGTGTTTCAAACTGCTCTGTCAGTACAAAGGTTCAACACTGTTAGTTGATTAGATGCATCATAAACAAGTTCCTGAGATAGCTTCTATGTCGTTTTTATGGGAAGATATTTCCTTTTTCACCAGAGGCCTGAAAGCACTCCAAATGTCCACTTCCAGATACTACAAAAAGAGTGTTTCCAACCTGCTCTATGAAACGGAAGGTTCAACTCTGTGACTTGATTGCAAACATCACGAAGGTGTTTCTGAGAATGTTTCTGTCTAGATTTTCTTTGAAGACATTACCGTTTCCAACGAAATCCTCAAAGCTAGCCAAATATCCACCTGCAGATTCTACAAAAAGAGTGTTTCAAAAGTGCTCTGTCCAAACCAAGGTTCAATTCTGACAGTTGAGTGCACACATCACAAACGTGATTCTGCGAATGCTTCTGTCTAGTTTTTGTCGGAAGATATTTCCTTTTTCAGCATAGGCCCCAAGGAGCTCAAAATGTCCACTTCCAGATAGTACGAGAAGATTGTTTCAAACCTGCTCTGCGAAAGGGAATGTTCGACTCTGTGACTTGAATGTAAACATCCCCTAAGATGTTTATTAGAATGCTTCTGGCTAGATTTTATTTGAAGATATTCCCGTTTCCAACGAAATCCTCAAAGCTTTCCAAATATCCACTTCCAGATTCTATAAAAAGAATGTTTCAGAACAGTTCTGTCAAAAGAAAGGTTCAACTCTGTTAGTGGAGAACACACATCACAATCAAGGTTCTGAGAATGCTTCTGTCTAAATTTTCTATGAAGACATTCCCGTTTCCAACGAAATCCTCACAGCTATCCAAATATCCACTTGCAGGTTCTACAAAAAGTGTGGTTCAAAACTGCTGTATCAAAAGAATGGATCAACACTGTTAGTTGAGTACCCACATCACAAACGTGATTCTCAGAATGCTTCTGTCTAGTTTCTGTAGGTAGATATTTCCTATTTTAAGCATAGGCCTGAAAGCGCTCAAAATGCCCGCTTCCAGACACTATAAAAAGAGGGTTTCAAACCTACTCTATGAAAGGGAATGTTCAACTCTGAGAGCTGGATGCAAACATCACAAAGAAGTTTCTGAGAATGCTGCTGTCTACTTTTTATATATAATCCCGTTTCCAACGAAATCCTCAAATCTATCCAAATATCCACTTGCGGATTCCAAAAGAAGAGTGTCTCAAAACTGCTCTATCAATAGAAATGTTCAGCACAGTTAGTTGAGTAGATACAGCATAAACATGTTTCTGAGATTACTTCTATCTCGCATTCATGGGAAGATATTTCCTTTTTCCAGATAGGCTACAAAGCCCTCCAAATGTCCACTTCCAGATACTACAAATAGAGTGCTGCACAACTGCTCTATGTGAGGGGAAGTTCAATTCTGTGACTTGAATGCAGACACCACAAAGAAGTTTCTGAGAATGCTGCTGTCTAATTTTTACATGTAAGCCCGTTTCCAACGAAATCCTCAAAGCTATCCAAATATCCGCATGCAGAATCTTCAAAAAGAGTGTTCCAGAAGTACTGCATGAAACGAAAGGTTCAAGTCCGTTTGTTGAGGACACACATCACAAATAAGTTTCTCAGAATGCTTCTGTCTTGTTTTCATTGGAAGATATTTCCTTTTTCACCATAGTTCAGAAAGCGCTCCAAATGTCCACTTCCAGATACTCCAAAAAGAGTGTTTCCAACCTGCGCTATGAATGGGAATGTTCCACTCTGTGACTTGAATGGAAATATGGCAAAGTATTTTCTGAGTATGCTGCTGTGTACGTTTTATATTGCATCCCGTTTCCAACGAAATCCTCAAAGCGATCCAAATATCCACTTGCAGATTCCAAAAAAAGAGTGTTTCAAACTGCTCTGTCAGTACAAAGGTTCAACACTGTTAGTTGATTAGATGCATCATAAACAAGTTCCTGATATAGATTCTATGTCGTTTTTATGGGAAGATATTTCTTTTTCACCATAGGCCTGAAAGCGCTCCAAATGTCCACTTCCAGATACTACAATAAGAGTGTTTCCAACCTGCTCTATGAAACGGAAGGTTCAACTCTGTGACTTGATTGCAAACATCACGAAGGTGTTTCTGAGAATGCTTCTGTCTAGATTTTCTTTGAAGACATTCCCGTTTCCAACGAAATCCTCACAGCTATCCAAATATCCTCTTGCAGATTCTACAAAAAGTGTGGTTCAAAACTGCTGTATCAAAAGAATGGATCAACACTGTTAGTTGAGTACCCACATCACAAACGTGATTCTCAGAATGCTTCTGTCTAGTTTCTGTAGGTAGATATTTCCTATTTTAAGCATAGGCCTGAAAGCGCTCCAAATGCCCGCTTCCAGACACTATAAAAAGAGGGTTTCAAACCTACTCTATGAAAGGGAATGTTCAACTCTGAGAGCTGGATGCAAACATCACAAAGAAGTTTCTGAGAATGCTGCTGTCTACTTTTGATATATAATCCCGTTTCCAACGAAAATCCTCAAATCTATCCAAATATCCACTTGCAGATTCCAAAAGAAGAGTGTCTCAAAACTGCTCTATCAATAGAAATGTTCAGCACAGTTAGTTGAGTAGATACAGCATAAACATGTTTCTGAGATTACTTCTATCTCGCATTCATGGGAAGATATTTCCTTTTTCCACATAGGCTACAAAGCCCTCCAAATGTCCACTTCCAGATACTACAAAGAGTGTTTCCAACCTGCTCTATGAAACGGAAGGTTCAACTCTGTGACTTGATTGCAAACATCACGAAGGTGTTTCTGAGAATGCTTCTGTCTAGATTTTCTTTGAAGACATTACCGTTTCCAACGAAATCCTCAAAGCTAGCCAAATATCCACCTGCAGATTCTACAAAAAGAGTGTTTCAAAAGTGCTCTGTCCAAACCAAGGTTCAATTCTGACAGTTGAGTGCACACATCACAAACGTGATTCTGCGAATGCTTCTGTCTAGTTTTTGTCGGAAGATATTTCCTTTTTCAGCATAGGCCGCAAGGAGCTCAAAATGTCCACTGCCAGATAGTACGAGAAGATTGTTTCAAACCTGCTCTGAGAAAGGGGAATGTTCAACTCTGTGACTTGAATGTAAACATCCCTAAGATGTTTCTTAGAATGCTTCTGGCTAGATTTTATTTGAAGATATTCCCATTTCCAACGAAATCCTCAAAACTTTCCAAATATCCACTTCCAGATTCTATAAAAAGAATGTTTCAAATCAGTTCTGTCCAAAGAAAGGTTCAACTCTGTTAGTGGAGAACTCACATCACAATCCAGGTTCTGAGAATGCTTCTGTCTAAATTTTCTATGAAGACATTCCCGTTTCCAACGAAATCCTCACAGCTATCCAAATATCCACTTGCAGATTCTACAAAAAGGGTGGTTCAAAACTGCTGTATCAAAAGAATGGATCAACACTGTTAGTTGAGTACCCACATCACAAACGTGATTCTCAGAATGCTTCTGTCTAGTTTCTATAGGTAGATATTTCCTTTTTCAGCATAGGCCTGAAAGCGCTCCAAATGCCCGCTTCCAGACACTATAAAAAGAGGGTTTCAAACCTACTCTATGAAAGGGAATGTTCAACTCTGAGAGCTGGATGCAAACATCACAAAGAAGTTTCTGAGAATGCTGCTGTCTACTTTTTATATATAATCCCGTTTCCAACGAAATCCTCAAATCTATCCAAATATCCACTTGCAGATTCCAAAAGAAGAGTGTCTCAAAACTGCTCTATCAATAGAAATGTTCAGCACAGTTAGTTGAGTAGATACAGCATAAACATGTTTCTGAGATTACTTCTATCTCGCATTCATGGGAAGATATTTCCTTTTTCCAGATAGGCTACAAAGCCCTCCAAATGTCCACTTCCAGATACTCCAAAAAGTGTGTTTCCAACCTGCTCTATGAAACGGAAGGTTCAACTCTGTGACTTGATTGCAAACATCACGAAGGTGTTTCTGAGAATGCTTCTGTCTAGATTTTCTTTGAAGACATTACCGTTTCCAACGAAATCCTCAAAGCTAGCCAAATATCCACCTGCAGATTCTACAAAAAGAGTGTTTCAAAAGTGCTCTGTCCAAACCAAGGTTCAATTCTGACAGTTGAGTGCACACATCACAAACGTGATTCTGCGAATGCTTCTGTCTAGTTTTTGTCGGAAGATATTTCCTTTTTCAGCATAGGCCCCAAAGAGCTCAAAATGTCCACTGCCAGATAGTACGAGAAGATTGTTTCAAACCTGCTCTGTGAAAGGGAATGTTCAACTCTGTGACTTGAATGTAAACATCCCTAAGATGTTTCTTAGAATGCTTCTGGCTAGATTTTATTTGAAGATATTCCCGTTTCCAACGAAATCCTCAAAGCTTTCCAAATATCCACTTCCAGATTCTATAAAAAGAATGTTTCAGAACAGTTCTGTCAAAAGAAAGGTTCAACTCTGTTAGTGGAGAACACACATCACAATCAAGGTTCTGAGAATGCTTCTGTCTAAATTTTCTATGAAGACATTCCCGTTTCCAACTAAATCCTCACAGCTATCCAAATATCCTCTTGCAGATTCTACAAAAAGGGTGGTTCAAAACTGCTGTATCAAAAGAATGGATCAACACTGTTAGTTGAGTACCCACATCACAAACGTGATTCTCAGAATGCTTCTGTGTAGTTTCTGAAGGTAGATATTTCCTTTTTCAGCATAGGCCTGAAAGCGTTCCAAATGCCCGCTTCCAGACACTATAAAAAGGGGGTTTCAAACCTACTCTGTGAAAGGGAATGTTCAACTCTGAGAGCTGGATGCAAACATCACAAAGAAGTTTCTGAGAATGCTGCTGTCTACTTTTGATATATAATCCCGTTTCCAACGAAATCCTCAAATCTATCCAAATATCCACTTGCAGATTCCAAAAGAAGAGTGTCTCAAAACTGCTCTATCAATAGAAATGTTCAGCACAGTTAGTTGAGTAGATACAGCATAAACATGTTTCTGAGATTACTTCTATCTCGCATTCATGGGAAGATATTTCCTTTTTCCAGATAGGCTACAATGCCCTCCAAATGTCCACTTCCAGATACTACAAATAGAGTGCTGCACAACTGCTCTATGTGAGGGGATGTTCAATTACTGTGACTTGAATGCAGACACCACAAAGAAGTTTCTGAGAATTCTGCTGTCTAATTTTTATATGTAAGCCCGTTTCCAACGAAATCCTCAAAGCTATCCAAATATCTGCATGCAGAATCTTTAAAAAGAGAGTTCCAGAAGTACTGCATGAAACGAAAGGTTCAAGTCCGTTAGTTGAGGACACACATCACAAATAAGTTTCTCAGAATGTTTCTGTCTTGTTTTCATTGGAAGATATTTCCTTTTTCACCATAGTTCAGAAAGCGCTCCAAATGTCCACTTCCAGATACTACAAAAAAAGTGTGTCAAACCTGCTCTATGAATGGGAATGTTCCACTCTGTGACTTGAATGGAAATATGGCAAAGTATTTTCTGAGTATGCTGCTGTGTACGTTTTATATTGCATCCCGTTTCCAACGAAATCCTCAAAGCGATCCAAATATCCACTTGCAGATTCCAAAAAAAAGAGTGTTTCACACTGCTCTGTCAGTACAAAGGTTCAACACTGTTAGTTGATTGGATGCATCATAAACAAGTTCCTGAGATAGCTTCTATGTCGTTTTTATGGGAAGATATTTCCTTCTTCACCATAGGCCTGAAAGCGCTCCAAATGTCCACTTCCAGATACTACAAAAAGAGTGTTTCCAACCTGCTCTATGAAACGGAAGGTTCAACTCTGTGACTTGATTGCAAACATCACGAAGGTGTTTCTGAGAATGTTTCTGTCTAGATTTTCTTTGAAGACATTACCGTTTCCAACGAAATCCTCAAAGCTAGCCAAATATCCACCTGCAGATTCTACAAAAAGAGTGTTTCAAAAGTGCTCTGTCCAAACAAAGGTTCAATTCTGACAGTTGAGTGCACACATCACAAACGTGATTCTGCGAATGCTTCTGTCTAGTTTTTGTCGCAAGCTATTTCCTTTCTCAGCATAGGCCCCAAGGAGCTCAAAATGTCCACTTCCAGATAGTACGAGAAGATTGTTTCAAACCTGCTCTGTGAAAGGGAATGTTCAACTCTGTTACTTGAATGTAAACATCCCTAAGATGTTTCTTAGAATGCTTCTGGCTAGATTTGATTTGAAGATATTCCCGTTTCCAACGAAATCCTCAAAGCTTTCCAAATATCCACTTCCAGATTCTATAAAAAGAATGTTTCAAAACAGTTCTGTCAAAAGAAAGGTTCAACCCTGTTAGTGGAGAACACACATCACAATCAAGGTTCTGAGAATGCTTCTGTCTAAATTTTCTATGAAGACATTCCCGTTTCCAAGGAAATCCTCACAGCTATCCAAATATCCACTTGCAGATTCTACAAAAAGTGTGGTTCAAAACTGCTGTATCAAAAGAATGGATCAACACTGTTAGTTGAGTACCCACATCACAAACGTGATTCTCAGAATGCTTCTGTCTAGTTTCTATAGGTAGATATTTCCTTTTTCAGCATAGGCCTGAAAGCGCTCCAAATGCCCGCTTCCAGACACTATAAAAAGAGGGTTTCAAACCTACTCTACGAAAGGGAATGTTCAACTCTGAGAGCTGGATGCAAACATCACAAAGAAGTTTCTGAGAATGCGGCTGTCTACTTTTTATATATAATCCCGTTTCCAACGAAATCCTCAAATCTATCCAAATATCCACTTGCAGATTCCAAAAGAAGAGTGTCTCAAAACTGCTCTATCAATAGAAATGTTCAGCACAGTTAGTTGAGTAGATACAGCATAAACATGTTTCTGAGATTACTTCTATCTCGCATTCATGGGAAGATATTTCCTTTTTCCAGATAGGCTACAAAGCCCTCCAAATGTCCACTTCGAGATACTACAAATAGAGTGCTGCACAACTGCTCTATGTGAGGGGATGTTCAATTCTGTGACTTGAATGCAGACACCACAAAGAAGTTTCTGAGAATGCTGCTGTCTAATTTTTACATGTAAGCCCGTTTCCAACGAAATCCTCAAAGCTAACCAAATATCCGCATGCAGAATCTTCAAAAAGAGTGTTCCAGAAGTACTGCATGAAACGAAAGGTTCGAGTCCGTTAGTTGAGGACACGCATCACAAATAAGTTTCTCAGAATGCTTCTGTCTTGTTTTCATTGGAAGATATTTCCTTTTTCACCATAGTTCAGAAAGCGCTCCAAATGTCCACTTCCAGATACTCCAAAAAGAGTGTTTCAAACCTGCTCTATGAATGGGAATGTTCCACTCTGTGACTTGAATGGAAATATGGCAAAGTATTTTCTGAGTATGCTGCTGTGTACGTTTTATATTGCATCCCGTTTCCAACGAAATCCTCAAAGCGATCCAAATATCCACTTGCAGATTCCAAAAAAAGAGTGTTTCAAACTGCTCTGTCAGTACAAAGGTTCAACACTGTTAGTTGATTAGATGCATCATAAACAAGTTCCTGAGATAGCTTCTATCTCGCATTCATGGGAAGATATTTCCTTTTTCCAGATAGGCTACAAAGCCCTCCAAATGTCCACTTCCAGATACTACAAAAAGTGTGTTTCCAACCTGCTCTATGAAACGGAAGGTTCAACTCTGTGACTTGATTGCAAACATCACGAAGGTGTTTCTGAGAATGCTTCTGTCTAGATTTTCTTTGAAGACATTACCGTTTCCAACGAAATCCTCAAAGCTAGCCAAATATCCACCTGCAGATTCTACAAAAAGAGTGTTTCAAAAGTGCTCTGTCCAAACCAAGGTTCAATTCTGACAGTTGAGTGCACACATCACAAACGTGATTCTGCGAATGCTTCTGTCTAGTTTTTATCGGAAGATATTTCCTTTTTCAGCATAGGCCCCAAGGAGCTCAAAATGTCCACTGCCAGATAGTACGAGAAGATTGTTTCAAACCTGCTCTGTGAAAGGGAATGTTCAACTCTGTGACTTGAATGTAAACATCCCTAAGATGTTTCTTAGAATGCTTCTGGCTAGATTTTATTTGAAGATATTCCCGTTTCCAATGAAATCCTCAAAGCTTTCCAAATATCCACTTCCAGATTCTATAAAAAGAATGTTTCAGAACAGTTCTGTCAAAAGAAAGGTTCAACTCTGTTAGTGGAGAACACACACCACAATCAAGGTTCTGAGAATGCTTCTGTCTAAATTTTCTATGAAGACATTCCCGTTTCCAACGAAATCCTCACAGCTATCCAAATATCCACTTGCAGATTCTACAAAAAGTGTGGTTCAAAACTGCTGTATCAAAAGAATGGATCAACACTGTTAGTTGAGTACCCACATCACAAACGTGATTCTCAGAATGCTTCTGTCTAGTTTCTATAGGTAGATATTTCCTTTTTCAGCATAGGCCTGAAAGCGCTCCAAATGCCCGCTTCCAGACACTATAAAAAGAGGGTTTCAAACCTACTCTATGAAAGGGAATGTTCAACTCTGAGAGCTGGATGCAAACATCACAAAGAAGTTTCTGAGAATGCTGCTGTCTACTTTTGATATATAATCCCGTTTCCAACGAAATCCTCAAATCTATCCAAATATCCACTTGCAGATTCCAAAAGAAGAGTGTCTCAAAACTGCTCTATCAATAGAAATGTTCAGCACAGTTAGTTGAGTAGATACAGCATAAACATGTTTCTGAGATTACTTCTATCTCGCATTCATGGGAAGATATTTCCTTTTTCCAGATAGGCTACAAAGCCCTCCAAATGTCCACTTCCAGATACTACAAATAGAGTGCTGCACAACTGCTCTATGTGAGGGGAAGTTCAATTCTGTGACTTGAATGCAGACACCACAAAGAAGTTTCTGAGAATGCTGCTGTCTAATTTTTACATGTAAGCCCGTTTCCAACGAAATCCTCAAAGCTATCCAAATATCCGCATGCAGAATCTTCAAAAAGAGTGTTCAAGAAGTACTGCATGAAACGAAAGGTTCAAGTCCGTTTGTTGAGGACACACATCACAAATAAGTTTCTCAGAATGCTTCTGTCTTGTTTTCATTGGAAGATATTTCCTTTTTCACCATAGTTCAGAAAGCGCTCCAAATGTCCACTTCCAGATACTCCAAAAAGAGTGTTTCAAACCTGCTCTATGAATGGGAATGTTCCACTCTGTGACTTGAATGGAAATATGGCAAAGTATTTTCTGAGTATGCTGCTGTGTACGTTTTATATTGCATCCCGTTTCCAACGAAATCCTCAAAGCGATCCAAATATCCACTTGCAGATTCCAAAAAAAGAGTGTTTCAAACTGCTCTGTCAGTACAAAGGTTCAACACTGTTAGTTGATTAGATGCATCATAAACAAGTTCCTGAGATAGCTTCTATGTTGTTTTTATGGGAAGATATTTCCTTTTTCACCATAGGCCTGAAAGCGCTCCAAATGTCCACTTCCAGATACTACAATAAGAGTGTTTCCAACCTGCTCTATGAAACGGAAGGTTCAACTCTGTGACTTGATTGCAAACATCACGAAGGTGTTTCTGAGAATGTTTCTGTCTAGATTTTCTTTGAAGACATTCCCGTTTCCAACGAAATCCTCACAGCTATCCAAATATCCTCTTGCAGATTCTACAAAAAGTGTGGTTCAAAACTGCTGTATCAAAAGAATGGATCAACACTGTTAGTTGAGTACCCACATCACAAACGAGATTCTCAGAATGCTTCTGTCTAGTTTCTGTAGGTAGATATTTCCTATTTTAAGCATAGGTCTGAAAGCGCTCCAAATGCCCGCTTCCAGACACTATAAAAAGAGGGTTTCAAACCTACTCTATGAAAGGGAATGTTCAACTCTGAGAGCTGGATGCAAACATCACAAAGAAGTTTCTGAGAATGCTGCTGTCTACTTTTTATATATAATCCCGTTTCCAACGAAATCCTCAAATCTCTCCAAATATCCACTTGCAGATTCCAAAAGAAGAGTGTCTCAAAACTGCTCTATCAATAGAAATGTTCAGCACAGTTAGTTGAGTAGATACAGCATAAACATGTTTCTGAGATTACTTCTATCTCGCATTCATGGGAAGATATTTCCTTTTTCCACATAGGCTACAAAGCCCTTCAAATGTCCACTTCCAGATACTACAAAAAGAGTGTTTCCAACCTGCTCTATGAAACGGAAGGTTCAACTCTGTGACTTGATTGCAAACATCACGAAGGTGTTTCTGAGAATGCTTCTGTCTAGATTTTCTTTGAAGACATTACCGTTTCCAACGAAATCCTCAAAGCTAGCCAAATATCCACCTGCAGATTCTACAAAAAGAGTGTTTCAAAAGTGCTCTGTCCAAACCAAGGTTCAATTCTGACAGTTGAGTGCACACATCACAAACGTGATTCTGCGAATGCTTCTGTCTAGTTTTTTTCGGAAGATATTTCCTTTTTCAGCATAGGCCCCAAGGAGCTCAAAATGTCCACTGCCAGATAGTACGAGAAGATTGTTTCAAACCTGCTCTGTGAAAGGGAATGTTCAACTCTGTGACTTGAATGTAAACATCCCTAAGATGTTTCTTAGAATGCTTCTGGCTAGATTTTATTTGAAGATATTCCCGTTTCCAACGAAATCCTCAAAGCTTTCCAAATATCCACTTCCAGATTCTATAAAAAGAATGTTTCAGAACAGTTCTGTCAAAAGAAAGGTTCAACTCTGTTAGTGGAGAACACACATCACAATCAAGGTTCTGAGAATGCTTCTGTCTAAATTTTCTATGAAGACATTCCCGTTTCCAACGAAATCCTCACAGCTATCCAAATATCCACTTGCAGATTCTACAAAAAGGGTGGTTCAAAACTGCTGTATCAAAAGAATGGATCAACACTGTTAGTTGAGTACCCACATCACAAACGTGATTCTCAGAATGCTTCTGTCTAGTTTCTATAGGTAGATATTTCCTTTTTCAGCATAGGCCTGAAAGCGCTCCAAATGCCCGCTTCCAGACACTATAAAAAGAGGGTTTCAAACCTACTCTATGAAAGGGAATGTTCAACTCTGAGAGCTGGATGCAAACATCACAAAGAAGTTTCTGAGAATGCTGCTGTCTACTTTTTATATATCATCCCGTTTCCAACGAAATCCTCAAATCTATCCAAATATCCACTTGCAGATTCCAAAAGAAGAGTGTCTCAAAACTGCTCTATCAATAGAAATGTTCAGCACAGTTAGTTGAGTAGATACAGCATAAACATGTTTCTGAGATTACTTCTATCTCGCATTCATGGGAAGATATTTCCTTTTTCCAGATAGGCTACAAAGCCCTCCAAATGTCCACTTCCAGATACTACAAATAGAGTGCTGCACAACTGCTCTATGTGAGGGGAAGTTCAATTCTGTGACTTGAATGCAGACACCACAAAGAAGTTTCTGAGAATGCTGCTGTCTAATTTTTACATGTAAGCCCGTTTCCAACGAAATCCTCAAAGCTATCCAAATATCCGCATGCAGAATCTTCAAAAAGAGTGTTCCAGAAGTACTGCATGAAACGAAAGGTTCAAGTCCGTTTGTTGAGGACACACATCACAAATAAGTTTCTCAGAATGCTTCTGTCTTGTTTTCATTGGAAGATATTTCCTTTTTCACCATAGTTCAGAAAGCGCTCCAAATGTCCACTTCCAGATACTACAAAAAGAGTGTGTCAAACCTGCTCTATGAATGGGAATGTTACACTCTGTGACTTGAATGGAAATATGGCAAAGTATTTTCTGAGTATGCTGCTGTTTACTTTTATATTGCATCCCGTTTCCAACGAAATCCTCAAAGCGATCCAAATATCCACTTGCAGATTCCAAAAAAAAGAGTGTTTCACACTGCTCTGTCAGTACAAAGGTTCAACACTGTTAGTTGATTGGATGCATCATAAACAAGTTCCTGAGATAGCTTCTATGTCGTTTTTATGGGAAGATATTTCCTTTTTCACCATAGGCCTGAAAGCGCTCCAAATGTCCACTTCCAGATACTACAAAAAGAGTGTTTCCAACCTGCTCTATGAAAGGGAAGGTTCAACTCTGTGACTTGATTTCAAACATCACGAAGGTGTTTCTGAGAATGTTTCTGTCTAGATTTTCTTTGAAGACATTACCGTTTCCAACGAAATCCTCAAAGCTAGCCAAATATCCACCTGCAGATTCTACAAAAAGAGTGTTTCAAAAGTGCTCTGTCCAAACCAAGGTTCAATTCTGACAGTTGAGTGCACACATCACAAACGTGATTCTGCGAATGCTTCTGTCTAGTTTTTGTCGGAAGATATTTCCTTTTTCAGCATAGGCCCCAAGGAGCTCAAAATGTCCACTGCCAGATAGTACGAGAAGATTGTTTCAAACCTGCTCTGAGAAAGGGGAATGTTCAACTCTGTGAGTTGAATGTAAACATCCCTAAGATGTTTCTTAGAATGCTTCTGGCTAGATTTTATTTGAAGATATTCCCGTTTCCAACGAAATCCTCAAAGCTTTCCAAATATCCACTTCCAGATTCTCTAAAAAGAATGTTTCAAAACAGTTCTGTCAAAAGAAAGGTTCAACTCTGTTAGTGGAGAACACACATCACAATCCAGGTTCTGAGAATGCTTCTGTCTAAATTTTCTATGAAGACATTCCCGTTTCCAACGAAATCCTCACAGCTATCCAAATATCCACTTGCAGATTCTACAAAAAGGGTGGTTCAAAACTGCTGTATCAAAAGAATGGATCAACACTGTTAGTTGAGTACCCACATCACAAACGTGATTCTCAGAATGCTTCTGTCTAGTTTCTGTAGGTAGATAATTCCTTTTTCAGCATAGGCCTGAAAGCGCTGCAAATGCCCGCTTCCAGACAGTATAAAAAGGGGGTTTCAAACCTACTCTATGAAAGGGAATGTTCAACTCTGAGAGCTGGATGCAAACATCACAAAGAAGTTTTCTGAGAATGCTGCTGTCTACTTTTTATATATAATCCCGTTTCCAACGAAATCCTCAAATCTATCCAAATATCCACTTGCAGATTCCAAAAGAAGAGTGTCTCAAAACTGCTCTATCAATAGAAATGTTCAGCACAGTTAGTTGAGTAGATACAGCATAAACATGTTTCTGAGATTACTTCTATCTCGCATTCATGGGAAGATATTTCCTTTTTCCAGATAGGCTACAAAGCCCTCCAAATGTCCACTTCCAGATACTACAAATAGAGTGCTGCACAACTGCTCTATGTGAGGGGATGTTCAATTCTGTGACTTGAATGCAGACACCACAAAGAGGTTTCTGAGAATGCTGCTGTCTAATTTTTACATGTAAGCCCGTTTCCAACGAAATCCTCAAAGCTATCCAAATATCCGCATGCAGAATCTTCAAAAAGAGTGTTCCAGAAGTATTGCATGAAACGAAAGGTTCAAGTCCGTTTGTTGAGGACACACATCACAAATAAGTTTCTCAGAATGCTTCTGTCTTGTTTTCATTGGAAGATATTTCCTTTTTCACCATAGTTCAGAAAGCGCTCCAAATGTCCACTTCCAGATACTCCAAAAAGAGTGTTTCCAACCTGCTCTATGAATGGGAATGTTCCACTCTGTGACTTGAATGGAAATATGGCAAAGAATTTTCTGAGTATGCTGCTGTGTACGTTTTATATTGCATCCCGTTTCCAACGAAATCCTCAAAGCGATCCAAATATCCACTTGCAGATTCCAAAAAAAGAGTGTTTCAAACTGCTCTGTCAGTACAAAGGTTCAACACTGTTAGTTGATTAGATGCCTCATAAACAAGTTCCTGAGATAGCTTCTATGTTGTTTTTATGGGAAGATATTTCCTTTTTCACCATAGGCCTGAAAGCGCTCCAAATGTCCACTTCCAGATACTACAATAAGAGTGTTTCCAACCTGCTCTATGAAACGGAAGGTTCAACTCTGTGACTTGATTGCAAACATCACGAAGGTGTTTCTGAGAATGTTTCTGTCTAGATTTTCTTTGAAGACATTCCCGTTTCCAACGAAATCCTCACAGCTATCCAAATATCCTCTTGCAGATTCTACAAAAAGTGTGGTTCAAAACTGCTGTATCAAACGAATGGATCAAGACTGTTAGTTGAGTACCCACATCACAAACGAGATTCTCAGAATGCTTCTGTCTAGTTTCTGTAGGTAGATATTTCCTATTTTAAGCATAGGTCTGAAAGCGCTCCAAATGCCCGCTTCCAGACACTATAAAAAGAGGGTTTCAAACCTACTCTATGAAAGGGAATGTTCAACTCTGAGAGCTGGATGCAAACATCACAAAGAAGTTTCTGAGAATGCTGCTGTCTACTTTTTATATATAATCCCGTTTCCAACGAAATCCTCAAATCTATCCAAATATCCACTTGCAGATTCCAAAAGAAGAGTGTCTCAAAACTGCTCTATCAATAGAAATGTTCAGCACAGTTAGTTGAGTAGATACAGCATAAACATCTTTCTGAGATTACTTCTATCTCGCATTCATGGGAAGATATTTCCTTTTTCCAGATAGGCTACAAAGCCCTCCAAATGTCCACTTCCAGATACTACAAAAAGAGTGTTTCCAACCTGCTCTATGAAACGGAAGGTTCAACTCTGTGACTTGATTGCAAACATCACGAAGGTGTTTCTGAGAATGCTTCTGTCTAGATTTTCTTTGAAGACATTACCGTTTCCAACGAAATCCTCAAAGCTAGCCAAATATCCACCTGCAGATTCTACAAAAAGAGTGTTTCAAAAGTGCTCTGTCCAAACCAAGGTTCAATTCTGACAGTTGAGTGCACACATCACAAACGTGATTCTGCGAATGCTTCTGTCTAGTTTTTGTCGGAAGATATTTCCTTTTTCAGCATAGGCCCCAAGGAGCTCAAAATGTCCACTGCCAGATAGTACGAGAAGATTGTTTCAAACCTGCTCTGTGAAAGGGAATGTTCAACTCTGTGACTTGAATGTAAACATCCCTAAGATGTTTCTTAGAATGCTTCTGGCTAGATTTGATTTGAAGATATTCCCGTTTCAAACGAAATCCTCAAAGCTTTCCAAATATCCACTTCCAGATTCTATACAAAGAATGTTTCAGAACAGTTCTGTCAAAAGAAAGGTTCAACCCTGTTAGTGGAGAACACACATCACAATCAAGGTTCTGAGAATGTTTCTGTCTAAATTTTCTATGAAGACATTCCCGTTTCCAAGGAAATCCTCACAGCTATCCAAATATCCACTTGCAGATTCTACAAAAAGTGTGGTTCAAAACTGCTGTATCAAAAGAATGGATCAACACTGTTACTTGAGTACCCACATCACAAACGTGATTCTCAGAATGCTTCTGTCTAGTTTCTATAGGTAGATATTTCCTTTTTCAGCATAGGCCTGAAAGCGCTCCAAATGCCCGCTTCCAGACACTATAAAAAGAGGGTTTCAAACCTACTCTATGAAAGGGAATGTTCAACTCTGAGAGCTGGATGCAAACATCACAAAGAAGTTTCTGAGAATGCTGCTGTCTACTTTTTATATATGATCCCGTTGCCAACGAAATCGTCAAATCTATCCAAATATCCACTTGCAGATTCCAAAAGAAGAGTGCCTCAAAACTGCTCAATCAATAGAAATGTTCAGCACAGTTAGTTGAGTAGATACAGCATAAACATGTTTCTGAGATTACTTCTATCTCGCATTCATGGGAAGATATTTCCTTTTTCCAGATAGGCTACAAAGCCCTCCAAATGTCCACTTCGAGATACTACAAATAGAGTGCTGCACAACTGCTCTATGTGAGGGGATGTTCAATTCTGTGACTTGAATGCAGACACCACAAAGAAGTTTCTGAGAATGCTGCTGTCTAGTTTTTATATGTAAGCCCGTTTCCAACGAAATCCTCAAAGCTATCCAAATATCCGCATGCAGAATCTTCAAAAAGAGTGTTCCAGAAGTACTGCATGAAACGAAAGGTTCAAGTCCGTTAGTTGAGGACACACATCACAAATAAGTTTCTCAGAATGCTTCTGTCTTGTTTTCATTGGAAGATATTTCCTTTTTCACCATAGTTCAGAAAGCGCTCCAAATGTCCACTTCCAGATACTACAAAAAGAGTGTTTCCAACCTGCTCTATGAATGGGAATGTTCCACTCTGTGACTTGAATGGAAATATGGCAAAGTATTTTCTGAGTATGCTGCTGTGTACGTTTTATATTGCATCCCGTTTCCAACGAAATCCTCAAAGCGATCCAAATATCCACTTGCAGATTCCAAAAAAAAGAGTGTTTCACACTGCTCTGTCAGGACAAAGGTTCAACACTGTTAGTTGATTGGATGCATCATAAACAAGTTCCTGAGATAGCTTCTATGTCGTTTTTATGGGAAGATATTTCCTTCTTCACCATAGGCCTGAAAGCGCTCCAAATGTCCACTTCCAGATACTACAAAAAGAGTGTTTCCAACCTGCTCTATGAAACGGAAGGTTCAACTCTGTGACTTGATTGCAAACATCACGAAGTTGTTTCTGAAAATGTTTCTGTCTAGATTTTCTTTGAAGACATTACCATTTCCAACGAAATCCTCAAAGCTAGTCAAATATCCACCTGCAGATTCTACAAAAAGAGTGTTTCAAAAGTGCTCTGTCCAAACAAAGGTTCAATTCTGACAGTTGAGTGCACACATCACAAACGTGATTCTGCGAATGCTTCTGTCTAGTTTTTGTCGGAAGATATTTCCTTTTTCAGCATAGGCCCCAAGGAGCACAAAATGTCCACTTCCAGATAGTACGAGAAGATTGTTTCAAACCTGCTCTGTGAAAGGGAACGTTCAACTCTGTGACTTGAATGTAAACATCCCTAAGATGTTTCTTAGAATGCTTCTGGCTAGATTTTATTTGAAGATATTCCCGTTTCCAACGAAATCCTCAAAGCTTTCCAAATATCCACTTCCAGATTCTATAAAAAGAATGTTTCAGAACAGTTCTGTCAAAAGAAAGGTTCAACTCTCTTAGTGGAGAACACACATCACAAACAAGGTTCTGAGAATGCTTCTATCTAAATTTTCTATGAAGACATTCCCGTTTCCAACGAAATCCTCACAGCTATCCAAATATCCACTTGCAGATTCTACAAAAAGTGTGGTTCAAAACTGCTGTATCAAAAGAATGGATCAACACTGTTAGTTGAGTACCCACATCACAAACGTGATTCTCAGAATGCTTCTGTCTAGTTTCTATAGGTAGATATTTCCTTTTTCAGCATAGGCCTGAAAGCGCTCCAAATGCCCGCTTCCAGACACTATAAAAAGAGGGTTTCAAACCTACTCTATGAAAGGGAATGTTCAACTCTGAGAGCTGGATGCAAACATCACAAAGAAGTTTCTGAGAATGCTGCTGTCTACTTTTGATATATAATCCCGTTTCCAACGAAATCCTCAAATCTATCCAAATATCCACTTGCAGATTCCAAAAGAAGAGTGTCTCAAAACTGCTCTATCAATAGAAATGCTCAGCACAGTTAGTTGAGTAGATACAGCATAAACATGTTTCTGAGATTACTTCTATCTCGCATTCATGGGAAGATATTTCCTTTTTCCAGATAGGCTACAAAGCCCTCCAAATGTCCACTTCCAGATACTACAAAAAGAGTGTTTCCAACCTGCTCTATGAAACGGAAGGTTCAACTCTGTGACTTGATTGCAAACATCACGAAGGTGTTTCTGAGAATGCTTCTGTCTAGATTTTCTTTGAAGACATTACCGTTTCCAACGAAATCCTCAAAGCTAGCCAAATATCCACCTGCAGATTCTACAAAAAGAGTGTTTCAAAAGTGCTCTGTCCAAACCAAGGTTCAATTCTGACAGTTGAGTGCACACATCACAAACGTGATTCTGCGAATGCTTCTGTCTAGTTTTTGTCGGAAGATATTTCCTTTTTCAGCATAGGCCCCAAGGAGCTCAAAATGTCCACTGCCAGATAGTACGAGAAGATTGTTTCAAACCTGCTCTGTGAAAGGGAATGTTCAACTCTGTGACTTGAATGTAAACATCCCTGAGATGTTTCTTAGAATGCTTCTGGCTAGATTTGATTTGAAGATATTCCCGTTTCCAACGAAATCCTCAAAGCTTTCCAAATATCCACTTCCAGATTCTATAAAAAGAATGTTTCAGAACAGTTCTGTCAAAAGAAAGGTTCAACTCTGTTAGTGGAGAACACACATCACAATCAAGGTTCTGAGAATGCTTCTGTCTAAATTTTCTATGAAGACATTCCCGTTTCCAACGAAATCCTCACAGCTATCCAAATATCCACTTGCAGATTCTACAAAAAGTGTGGTTCAAAACTGCTGTATCAAAAGAATGGATCAACACTGTTAGTTGAGTACCCACATCACAAACGTGATTCTCAGAATGCTTCTGTCTAGTTTCTGTAGGTAGATATTTCCTATTTTAAGCATAGGCCTGAAAGCGCTCCAAATGCCCGCTTCTAGACACTATAAAAAGAGGGTTTCAAACCTACTCTATGAAAGGGAATGTTCAACTCTGAGAGCTGGATGCAAACATCACAAAGAAGTTTCTGAGAATGCTGCTGTCTACTTTTTATATATAATCCCGTTTCCAACGAAATCCTCAAATCTATCCAAATATCCACTTGCAGATTCCAAAAGAAGAGTGTCTCAAAACTGCTCTATCAATAGAAATGTTCAGCACAGTTAGTTGAGTAGATACAGCATAAACATGTTTCTGAGATTACTTCTATCTCGCATTCATGGGAAGATATTTCCTTTTTCCAGAAAGGCTACAAAGCCCTCCAAATGTCCACTTCCAGATACTACAAAAAGAGTGTTTCCAACCTGCTCTATGAAACGGAAGGTTCAACTCTGTGACTTGATTGCAAACATCACGAAGGTGTTTCTGAGAATGCTTCTGTGTAGATTTTCTTTGAAGACATTACCGTTTCCAACGAAATCCTCAAAGCTAGCCAAATATCCACCTGCAGATTCTACAAAAAGAGTGTTTCAAAAGTGCTCTGTCCAAACCAAGGTTCAATTCTGACAGTTGAGTGCACACATCACAAACGTGATTCTGCGAATGCTTCTGTCTAGTTTTTGTCGGAAGATATTTCCTTTTTCAGCATAGGCCCCAAGGAGCTCAAAATGTCCCCTGCCAGATAGTACGAGAAGATTGTTTCAAACCTGCTCTGTGAAAGGGAATGTTCAACTCTGTGACTTGAATGTAAACATCCCTAAGATGTTTCTTAGAATGCTTCTGGCTAGATTTGATTTGAAGATATTCCCGTTTCCAACGAAATCCTCAAAGCTTTCCAAATATCCACTTCCAGATTCTATAAAAAGAATGTTTCAGAACAGTTCTGTCAAAAGAAAGGTTCAACTCTGTTAGTGGAGAACACACATCACAATCAAGGTTCTGAGAATGCTTCTGTCTAAATTTTCTATGAAGACATTCCCGTTTCCAACGAAATCCTCACAGCTATCCAAATATCCACTTGCAGATTCTACAAAAAGTGTGGTTCAAAACTGCTGTATCAAAAGAATGGATCAACACTGTTAGTTGAGTACCCACATCACAAACGTGATTCTCAGAATGCTTCTGTCTAGTTTCTATAGGTAGATATTTCCTTTTTCAGCATAGGCCTGAAAGCGCTCCAAATGCCCGCTTCCAGACACTATAAAAAGAGGGTTTCAAACCTACTCTATGAAAGGGAATGTTCAACTCTGAGAGCTGGATGCAAACATCACAAAGAAGTTTCTGAGAATGCTGCTGTCTACTTTTTATATATAATCCCGTTTCCAACGAAATCCTCAAATCTATCCAAATATCCACTTGCAGATTCCAAAAGAAGAGTGTCTCAAAACTGCTCTATCAATAGAAATGTTCAGCACAGTTAGTTGAGTAGATACAGCATAAACATGTTTCTGAGATTACTTCTATCTCGCATTCATGGGAAGATATTTCCTTTTTCCAGATAGGCTACAAAGCCCTCCAAATGTCCACTTCCAGATACTACAAATAGAGTGCTGCACAACTGCTCTATGTGAGGGGATGTTCAATTCTGTGACTTGAATGCAGACACCACAAAGAAGTTTCTGAGAATGCTGCTGTCTAATTTTTACATGTAAGCCCGTTTCCAACGAAATCCTCAAAGCTATCCAAATATCCGCATGCAGAATCTTCAAAAAGAGTGTTCCAGAAGTACTGCATGAAACGAAAGGTTCAAGTCCGTTTGTTGAGGACACACATCACAAATAAGTTTCTCAGAATGCTTCTGTCTTGTTTTCATTGGAAGATATTTCCTTTTTCACCATAGTTCAGAAAGCGCTCCAAATGTCCACTTCCAGATACTCCAAAAAGAGTGTTTCACACCTGCTCTATGAATGTGAATGTTCCACTCTGTGACTTGAATGGAAATATGGCAAAGTATTTTCTGAGTATGCTGCTGTGTACGTTTTATATTGCATCCCGTTTCCAACGAAATCCTCAAAGCGATCCAAATATCCACTTGCAGATTCCAAAAAAAGAGTGTTTCAAACTGCTCTGTCAGTACAAAGGTTCAACACTGTTAGTTGATTAGATGCATCATAAACAAGTTCCTGAGACAGCTTCTATGTCGTTTTTATGGGAAGATATTTCCTTTTTCACCATAGGCCTGAAAGCGCTCCAAATGTCCACTTCCAGATACTACAATAAGAGTGTTTCCAACCTGCTCTATGAAACGGAAGGTTCAACTCTGTGACTTGATTGCAAACATCACGAAGGTGTTTCTGAGAATGCTTCTATCTAGATTTTCTTTGAAGACATTCCCCGTTTCCAACGAAATCCTCACAGCTATCCAAATATCCACTTGCAGATTCTACAAAAAGTGTGGTTCAAAACTGCTGTATCAAAAGAATGGATCAACACTGTTAGTTGAGTACCCACATCACAAACGTGATTCTCAGAATGCTTCTGTCTAGTTTCTATAGGTAGATATTTCCTTTTTCAGCATAGGCCTGAAAGCGCTCCAAATGCCCGCTTCCAGACACTATAAAAAGAGGGTTTCAAACCTACTCTATGAAAGGGAATGTTCAACTCTGAGAGCTGGAAGCAAACATCACAAAGAAGTTTCTGAGAATGCTGCTGTCTACTTTTGATATATAATCCCGTTTCCAACGAAATCCTCAAATCTATCCAAATATCCACTTGCAGATTCCAAAAGAAGAGTGTCTCAAAACTGCTCTATCAATAGAAATGTTCAGCACAGTTAGTTGAGTAGATACAGCATAAACATGTTTCTGAGATTACTTCTATCTCGCATTCATGGGAAGATATTTCCTTTTTCCACATAGGCTACAAAGCCCTCCAAATGTCCACTTCCAGATACTACAAAAAGAGTGTTTCCAACCTGCTCTATGAAACGGAAGGTTCAACTCTGTGACTTGATTGCAAACATCACGAAGGTGTTTCTGAGAATGCTTCTGTCTAGATTTTCTTTGAAGACATTACCGTTTCCAACGAAATCCTCAAAGCTAGCCAAATATCCACCTGCAGATTCTACAAAAAGAGTGTTTCAAAAGTGCTCTGTCCAAACCAAGGTTCAATTCTGACAGTTGAGTGCACACATCACAAACGTGATTCTGCGAATGCTTCTGTCTAGTTTTTGTCAGAAGATATTTCCTTTTTCAGCATAGGCCCCAAGGCAGCTCAAAATGTCCACTGCCAGATAGTACGAGAAGATTGTTTCAAACCTGCTCTGTGAAAGGGAATGTTCAACTCTGTGACTTGAATGTAAACATCCCTAAGATGTTTCTTAGAATGCTTCTGGCTAGATTTGATTTGAAGATATTCCCGTTTCCAACGAAATCCTCAAAGCTTTCCAAATATCCACTTCCAGATTCTATAAAAAGAATGTTTCAGAACAGTTCTGTCAAAAGAAAGGTTCAACTCTGTTAGTGGAGAACACACATCACAATCAAGGTTCTGAGAATGCTTCCGTCTAAATTTTCTATGAAGACATTCCCGTTTCCAACGAAATCCTCACAGCTATCCAAATATCCACTTGCAGATTCTACAAAAAGTGTGGTTCAAAACTGCTGTATCAAAAGAATGGATCAACACTGTTAGTTGAGTACCCACATCACAAACGTGATTCTCAGAATGCTTCTGTCTAGTTTCTATAGGTAGATATTTCCTTTTTCAGCATAGGCCTGAAAGCGCTCCAAATGCCCGCTTCCAGACACTATAAAAAGAGGGTTTCAAACCTACTCTATGAAAGGGAATGTTCAACTCTGAGAGCTGGATGCAAACATCACAAAGAAGTTTCTGAGAATGCTGCTGTCTACTTTTGATATATAATCCCGTTTCCAACGAAATCCTCAAATCTATCCAAATATCCACTTGCAGATTCCAAAAGAAGAGTGTCTCAAAACTGCTCTATCAATAGAAATGTTCAGCACAGTTAGTTGAGTAGATACAGCATAAACATGTTTCTGAGATTACTTCTATCTCGCATTCATGGGAAGATATTTCCTTTTTCCAGATAGGCTACAAAGCCCTCCAAATGTCCACTTCCAGATACTACAAATAGAGTGCTGCACAACTGCTCTATGTGAGGGGAAGTTCAATTCTGTGACTTGAATGCAGACACCACAAAGAAGTTTCTGAGAATGCTGCTGTCTAATTTTTACATATAAGCCCGTTTCCAACGAAATCCTCAAAGCTATCCAAATATCCGCATGCAGAATCTTCAAAAAGAGTGTTCCAGAAGTACTGCATGAAACGAAAGGTTCAAGTCCGTTTGTTGAGGACACACATCACAAATAAGTTTCTCAGAATGCTTCTGTCTTGTTTTCATTGGAAGATATTTCCTTTTTCACCATAGTTCAGAAAGCGCTCCAAATGTCCACTTCCAGATACTCCAAAAAGAGTGTTTCAAACCTGCTCTATGAATGGGAATGTTCCACTCTGTGACTTGAATGGAAATATGGCAAAGTATTTTCTGAGTATGCTGCTGTGTACGTTTTATATTGCATCCCGTTTCCAACGAAATCCTCAAAGCGATCCAAATATCCACTTGCAGATTCCAAAAAAAGAGTGTTTCAAACTGCTCTGTCAGTACAAAGGTTCAACACTGTTAGTTGATTAGATGCATCATAAACAATTTCCTGAGACAGCTTCTATGTCGTTTTTATGGGAAGATATTTCCTTTTTCACCATAGGCCTGAAAGCGCTCCAAATGTCCCCTTCCAGATACTACAATAAGAGTGTTTCCAACCTGCTCTATGAAACGGAAGGTTCAACTCTGTGACTTGATTGCAAACATCACGAAGGTGTTTCTGAGAATGCTTCTGTCTAGATTTTCTTTGAAGACATTACCGTTTCCAACGAAATCCTCAAAGCTAGCCAAATATCCACCTGCAGATTCTACAAAAAGAGTGTTTCAAGAGTGCTCTCTCCAAACCAAGGTTCAATTCTGACAGTTGAGTGCACACATCACAAACGTGATTCTGCGAATGCTTCTGTCTAGTTTTTGTCGGAAGATATTTCCTTTTTCAGCATAGGCCCCAAGGAGCTCAAAATGTCCACTGCCAGATAGTACGAGAAGATTGTTTCAAACCTGCTCTGTGAAAGGGAATGTTCAACTCTGTGACTTGAATGTAAACATCCCTAAGATGTTTCTTAGAATGCTTCTGGCTAGATTTGATTTGAAGATATTCCCGTTTCCAACGAAATCCTCAAAGCTTTCCAAATATCCACTTCCAGATTCTATAAAAAGAATGTTTCAGAACAGTTCTGTCAAAAGAAAGGTTCAACTCTGTTAGTGGAGAACACACATCACAATCAAGGTTCTGAGAATGCTTCTGTCTAAATTTTCTATGAAGACATTCCCGTTTCCAACGAAATCCTCACAGCTATCCAAATATCCACTTGCAGATTCTACAAAAAGAGTGGTTCAAAACTGCTGTATCAAAAGAATGGATCAACACTGTTAGTTGAGTACCCACATCACAAACGTGATTCTCAGAATGCTTCTGTCTAGTTTCTATAGGTAGATATTTCCTTTTTCAGCATAGGCCTGAAAGCGCTCCAAATGCCCGCTTCCAGACACTATAAAAAGAGGGTTTCAAACCTACTCTATGAAAGGGAATGTTCAACTCTGAGAGCTGGATGCAAACATCACAAAGAAGTTTCTGAGAATGCTGCTGTCTACTTTTTATATATAATCCCGTTTCCAACGAAATCCTCAAATCTATCCAAATATCCACTTGCAGATTCCAAAAGAAGAGTGTCTCAAAACTGCTCTATCAATAGAAATGTTCAGCACAGTTAGTTGAGTAGATACAGCATAAACATGTTTCTGAGATTACTTCTATCTCGCATTCATGGGAAGATATTTCCTTTTTCCACATAGGCTACAAAGCCCTCCAAATGTCCACTTCCAGATACTACAAATAGAGTGCTGCACAACTGCTCTATGTGAGGGGAAGTTCAATTCTGTGACTTGAATGCAGACACCACAAAGAAGTTTCTGAGAATGCTGCTGTCTAATTTTTACATGTAAGCCCGTTTCCAACGAAATCCTCAAAGCTATCCAAATATCCGCATGCAGAATCTTCAAAAAGAGTGTTCCAGAAGTACTGCATGAAACGAAAGGTTCAAGTCCGTTTGTTGAGGACACACATCACAAATAAGTTTCTCAGAATGCTTCTGTCTTGTTTTCATTGGAAGATATTTCCTTTTTCACCATAGTTCAGAAAGCGCTCCAAATGTCCACTTCCAGATACTCCAAAAAGAGTGTTTCCAACCTGCTCTATGAATGGGAATGTTTCACTCTGTGACTTGAATGGAAATATGGCAAAGTATTTTCTGAGTATGCTGCTGTGTACGTTTTATATTGCATCCCGTTTCCAACGAAATCCTCAAAGCGATCCAAATATCCACTTGCAGATTCCAAAAAAAGAGTGTTTCAAACTGCTCTGTCAGTACAAAGGTTCAACACTGTTAGTTGATTAGATGCATCATAAACAAGTTCCTGAGATAGCTTCTATGTCGTTTTTATGGGAAGATATTTCCTTTTTCACCATAGGCCTGAAAGCGCTCCAAATGTCCACTTCCAGATACTACAATAAGAGTGTTTCCAACCTGCTCTATGAAACGGAAGGTTCAACTCTGTGACTTGATTGCAAACATCACGAAAGGTGTTTCTGAGAATGCTTCTGTCTAGATTTTCTTTGAAGACATTCCCGTTTCCAACGAAATCCTCACAGCTATCCACATATCCTCTTGCAGATTCTACAAAAAGTGTGGTTCAAAACTGCTGTATCAAAAGAATGGATCAACACTGTTAGTTGAGTACCCACATCACAAACGTGAT
The DNA here is from genome assembly GCF_000001405.40 of Homo sapiens. Lineage (NCBI taxonomy): Eukaryota > Metazoa > Chordata > Mammalia > Primates > Hominidae > Homo > Homo sapiens. The sequence continues at coordinate 45,268,270 of NC_000008.11, read as the reverse complement.
TCTCAGAATGCTTCTGTCTAGTTTCTGTAGGTAGATATTTCCTATTTTAAGCATAGGCCTGAAAGCGCTCCAAATGCCCGCTTCCAGACACTATAAAAAGAGGGTTTCAAACCTACTCTATGAAAGGGAATGTTCAACTCTGAGAGCTGGATGCAAACATCACAAAGAAGTTTCTGAGAATGCTGCTGTCTACTTTTTATATATAATCCCGTTTCCAACGAAATCCTCAAATCTATCCAAATATCCACTTGCAGATTCCAAAAGAAGAGTGTCTCAAAACTGCTCTATCAATAGAAATGTTCAGCACAGTTAGTTGAGTAGATACAGCATAAACATGTTTCTGAGATTACTACTATCTCGCATTCATGGGAAGATATTTCCTTTTTCCAGATAGGCTACAAAGCCCTCCAAATGTCCACTTCCAGATACTACAAATAGAGTGCTGCACAACTGCTCTATGTGAGGGGAAGTTCAATTCTGTGACTTGAATGCAGACACCACAAAGAAGTTTCTGAGAATGCTGCTGTCTAATTTTTACATGTAAGCCCGTTTCCAACGAAATCCTCAAAGCAATCCAAATATCCGCATGCAGAATCTTCAAAAAGAGTGTTCCAGAAGTACTGCATGAAACGAAAGGTTCAAGTCCGTTTGTTGAGGACACACATCACAAATAAGTTTCTCAGAATGCTTCTGTCTTGTTTTCATTGGAAGATATTTCCTTTTTCACCATAGTTCAGAAAGCGCTCCAAATGTCCACTTCCAGATACTCCAAAAAGAGTGTTTCCAACCTGCTCTATGAATGGGAATGTTCCACTCTGTGACTTGAATGGAAATATGGCAAAGTATTTTCTGAGTATGCTGCTGTGTACGTTTTATATTGCATCCCGTTTCCAACGAAATCCTCAAAGCGATCCAAATATCCACTTGCAGATTCCAAAAAAAAAGTGTTTCAAACTGCTCTGTCAGTACAAAGGTTCAACACTGTTAGTTGATTAGATGCCTCATAAACAAGTTCCTGAGATAGCTTCTATGTCGTTTTTATGGGAAGATATTTCCTTTTTCACCATAGGCCTGAAAGCGCTCCAAATGTCCACTTCCAGATACTACAATAAGAGTGTTTCCAACCTGCTCTATGAAACGGAAGGTTCAACTCTGTGACTTGATTGCAAACATCACGAAGGTGTTTCTGAGAATGCTTCTGTCTAGATTTTCTTTGAAGACATTCCCGTTTCCAACGAAATCCTCACAGCTATCCAAATATCCTCTTGCAGATTCTACAAAAAGTGTGGTTCAAAACTGCTGTATCAAAAGAATGGATCAACACTGTTACTTGAGTACCCACATCACAAACGTGATTCTCAGAATGCTTCTGTCTAGTTTCTGTAGGTAGATATTTCCTATTTTAAGCATAGACCTGAAAGCGCTCCAAATGCCCGCTTCCAGACACTATAAAAAGAGGGTTTCAAACCTACTCTATGAAAGGGAATGTTCAACTCTGAGAGCTGGATGCAAATATCACAAAGAAGTTTCTGAGAATGCTGCTGTCTACTTTTTATATATAATCCCGTTTCCAACGAAATCCTCAAATCTATCCAAATATCCACTTGCAGATTCCAAAAGAAGAGTGTCTCAAAACTGCTCTATCAATAGAAATGTTCAGCACAGTTAGTTGAGTAGATACAGCATAAACATGTTTCTGAGATTACTTCTATCTCGCATTCATGGGAAGATATTTCCTTTTTCCAGATAGGCTACAAAGCCCTCCAAATGTCCACTTCCAGATACTACAAATAGAGTGCTGCACAACTGCTCTATGTGAGGGGAAGTTCAATTCTGTGACTTGAATGCAGACACCACAAAGAAGTTTCTGAGAATGCTGCTGTCTAATTTTTACATGTAAGCCCGTTTCCAACGAAATCCTCAAAGCTATCCAAATATCCGCATGCAGAATCTTCAAAAAGAGTGTTCCAGAAGTACTGCATGAAACGAAAGGTTCAAGTCCGTTTGTTGAGGACACACATCACAAATAAGTTTCTCAGAATGCTTCTGTCTTGTTTTCATTGGAAGATATTTCCTTTTTCACCATAGTTCAGAAAGCGCTCCAAATGTCCACTTCCAGATACTCCAAAAAGAGTGTTTCCAACCTGCTCTATGAATGGGAATGTTCCACTCTGTGACTTGAATGGAAATATGGCAAAGTATTTTCTGAGTATGCTGCTGTGTACGTTTTATATTGCATCCCGTTTCCAACGAAATCCTCAAAGCGATCCAAATATCCACTTGCAGATTCCAAAAAAAGAGTGTTTCAAAGTGCTCTGTCAGTACAAAGGTTCAACACTGTTAGTTGATTAGATGCATCATAAACAATTTCCTGAGATAGCTTCTATCTCGCATTCATGGGAAGATATTTCCTTTTTCCAGATAGGCTACAAAGCCCTCCAAATGTCCACTTCCAGATACTACAAAAAGAGTGTTTCCAACCTGCTCTATGAAACGGAAGGTTCAACTCCTGTGACTTGATTGCAAACATCACGAAGGTGTTTCTGAGAATGCTTCTGTCTAGATTTTCTTTGAAGACATTACCGTTTCCAACGAAATCCTCAAAGCTAGCCAAATATCCACCTGCAGATTCTACAAAAAGAGTGTTTCAAAAGTGCTCTGTCCAAACCAAGGTTCAATTCTGACAGTTGAGTGCACACATCACAAACGTGATTCTGCGAATGCTTCTGTCTAGTTTTTGTCGGAAGATATTTCCTTTTTCAGCATAGGCCCCAAGGAGCTCAAAATGTCCACTGCCAGATAGTACGAGAAGATTGTTTCAAACCTGCTCTGTGAAAGGGAATGTTCAACTCTGTGACTTGAATGTAAACATCCCTAAGCTGTTTCTTAGAATGCTTCTGGCTAGATTTGATTTGAAGATATTCCCGTTTCCAACGAAATCCTCAAAGCTTTCCAAATATCCACTTCCAGATTCTATAAAAAGAATGTTTCAGAACAGTTCTGTCAAAAGAAAGGTTCAGCTCTGTTAGTGGAGAACACACATCACAATCAAGGTTCTGAGAATGCTTCTGTCTAAATTTTCTATGAAGACATTCCCGTTTCCAACGAAATCCTCACAGCTATCCAAATATCCACTTGCAGATTCTACAAAAAGTGTGGTTCAAAACTGCTGTATCAAAAGAATGGATCAACACTGTTAGTTGAGTACCCACATCACAAACGTGATTCTCAGAATGCTTCTGTCTAGTTTTTATAGGTAGATATTTCCTTTTTCAGCATAGGCCTGAAAGCGCTCCAAATGCCCGCTTCCAGACACTATAAAAAGAGGGTTTCAAACCTACTCTATGAAAGGGAATGTTCAACTCTGAGAGCTGGATGCAAACATCACAAAGAAGTTTCTGAGAATGCTGCTGTCTACTTTTGATATATAATCCCGTTTCCAACGAAATCCTCAAATCTATCCAAATATCCACTTGCAGATTCCAAAAGAAGAGTGTCTCAAAACTGCTCTATCAATAGAAATGTTCAGCACAGTTAGTTGAGTAGATACAGCATAAACATGTTTCTGAGATTACTTCTATCTCGCATTCATGGGAAGATATTTCCTTTTTCCACATAGGCTACAAAGCCCTCCAAATGTCCACTTCCAGATACTACAAAAAGAGTGTTTCCAACCTGCTCTATGAAACGGAAGGTTCAACTCTGTGACTTGATTGCAAACATCACGAAGGTGTTTCTGAGAATGCTTCTGTCTAGATTTTCTTTGAAGACATTACCGTTTCCAACGAAATCCTCAAAGCTAGCCAAATATCCACCTGCAGATTCTACAAAAAGAGTGTTTCAAAAGTGCTCTGTCCAAACCAAGGTTCAATTCTGACAGTTGAGTGCACACATCACAAACGTGATTCTGCGAATGCTTCTGTCTAGTTTTTGTCGGAAGATATTTCCTTTTTCAGCATAGGCCCCAAGGAGCTCAAAATGTCCACTGCCAGATAGTACGAGAAGATTGTTTCAAACCTGCTCTGTGAAAGGGAATGTTCAACTCTGTGACTTGAATGTAAACATCCCTAAGATGTTTCTTAGAATGCTTCTGGCTAGATTTGATTTGAAGATATTCCCGTTTCCAACGAAATCCTCAAAGCTTTCCAAATATCCACTTCCAGATTCTATAACAAGAATGTTTCAGAACAGTTCTGTCAAAAGAAAGGTTCAACTCTGTTAGTGGAGAACACACATCACAATCAAGGTTCTGAGAATGCTTCTGTCTAAATTTTCTATGAAGACATTCCCGTTTCCAACGAAATCCTCACAGCTATCCAAATATCCACTTGCAGATTCTACAAAAAGTGTGGTTCAAAACTGCTGTATCAAAAGAATGGATCAACACTGTTAGTTGAGTACCCACATCACAAACGTGATTCTCAGAATGCTTCTGTCTAGTTTCTATAGGTAGATATTTCCTTTTTCAGCATAGGCCTGAAAGCGCTCTAAATGCCCGCTTCCAGACACTATAAAAAGAGGGTTTCAAACCTACTCTATGAAAGGGAATGTTCAACTCTGAGAGCTGGATGCAAACATCACAAAGAAGTTTCTGAGAATGCTGCTGTCTACTTTTTATATATATCCCGTTTCCAACGAAATCCTCAAATCTATCCAAATATCCACTTGCAGATTCCAAAAGAAGAGTGTCTCAAAACTGCTCTATCAATAGAAATGTTCAGCACAGTTAGTTGAGTAGATACAGCATAAACATGTTTCTGAGATTACTTCTATCTCGCATTCATGGGAAGATATTTCCTTTTTCCAGATAGGCTACAAAGCCCTCCAAATGTCCACTTCGAGATACTACAAATAGAGTGCTGCACAACTGCTCTATGTGAGGGGAAGTTCAATTCTGTGACTTGAATGCAGACACCACAAAGAAGTTTCAGAGAATGCTGCTGTCTAATTTTTACATGTAAGCCCGTTTCCAACGAAATCCTCAAAGCTATCCAAATATCCGCATGCAGAATCTTCAAAAAGAGTGTTCCAGAAGTACTGCATGAAACGAAAGGTTCAAGTCCGTTTGTTGAGGACACACATCACAAATAAGTTTCTCAGAATGCTTCTGTCTTGTTTTCATTGGAAGATATTTCCTTTTTCACCATAGTTCAGAAAGCGCTCCAAATGTCCACTTCCAGATACTCCAAAAAGAGTGTTTCAAACCTGCTCTATGAATGGGAATGTTCCACTCTGTGACTTGAATGGAAATATGGCAAAGTATTTTCTGAGTATGCTGCTGTGTACGTTTTATATTGCATCCCGTTTCCAACGAAATCCTCAAAGCGATCCAAATATCCACTTGCAGATTCCAAAAAAAGAGTGTTTCAAACTGCTCTGTCAGTACAAAAGTTCAACACTGTTAGTTGATTAGATGCATCATAAACAAGTTCCTGAGATAGCTTCTATCTCGCATTCATGGGAAGATATTTCCTTTTTCCACATAGGCTACAAAGCCCTCCCAATGTCCACTTCCAGATACTACAAAAAGAGTGTTTCCAACCTGCTCTATGAAACGGAAGGTTCAACTCTGTGACTTGATTGCAAACATCACGAAGGTGTTTCTGAGAATGCTTCTGTCTAGATTTTCTTTGAAGACATTACCGTTTCCAACGAAATCCTCAAAGCTAGCCAAATATCCACCTGCAGATTCTACAAAAAGAGTGTTTCAAAAGTGCTCTGTCCAAACCAAGGTTCAATTCTGACAGTTGAGTGCACACATCACAAACGTGATTCTGCGAATGCTTCTGTCTAGTTTTTGTCGGAAGATATTTCCTTTTTCAGCATAGGCCCCAAGGAGCTCAAAATGTCCACTTCCAGATAGTACGAGAAGATTGTTTCAAACCTGCTCTGTGAAAGGGAATGTTCAACTCTGTGACTTGAATGTAAACATCCCTAAGATGTTTCTTAGAATGCTTCTGGCTAGATTTGATTTGAAGATATTCCCGTTTCCAACGAAATCCTCAAAGCTTTCCAAATATCCACTTCCAGATTCTATAAAAAGAATGTTTCAGAACAGTTCTGTCAAAAGAAAGGTTCAACTCTGTTAGTGGAGAACACACATCACAATCAAGGTTCTGAGAATGCTTCTGTCTAAATTTTCTATGAAGACATTCCCGTTTCCAACGAAATCCTCACAGCTATCCAAATATCCACTTGCAGATTCTACAAAAAGTGTGGTTCAAAACTGCTGTATCAAAAGAATGGATCAACACTGTTAGTTGAGTACCCACATCACAAACTTGATTCTCAGAATGCTTCTGTCTAGTTTCTATAGGTAGATATTTCCTTTTTCAGCATAGGCCTGAAAGCGCTCCAAATGCCCGCTTCCAGACACTATAAAAAGAGGGTTTCAAACCTACTCTATGAAAGGGAATGTTCAACTCTGAGAGCTGGATGCAAACATCACAAAGAAGTTTCTGAGAATGCTGCTGTCTACTTTTTATATATAATCCCGTTTCCAACGAAATCCTCAAATCTATCCAAATATCCACTTGCAGATTCCAAAAGAAGAGGGTCTCAAAACTGCTCTATCAATAGAAATGTTCAGCACAGTTAGTTGAGTAGATACAGCATAAACATGTTTCTGAGATTACTTCTATCTCGCATTCATGGGAAGATATTTCCTTTTTCCAGATAGGCTACAAAGCCCTCCAAATGTCCACTTCCAGATACTACAAATATAGTGCTGCACAACTGCTCTATGTGAGGGGAAGTTCAATTCTGTGACTTGAATGCAGACACCACAAAGAAGTTTCTGAGAATGCTGCTGTCTAATTTTTACATGTAAGCCCGTTTCCAACGAAATCCTCAAAGCTATCCAAATATCCGCATGCAGAATCTTCAAAAAGAGTGTTCCAGAAGTACTGCATGAAACGAAAGGTTCAAGTCCGTTTGTTGAGGACACACATCACAAATAAGTTTCTCAGAATGCTTCTGTCTTGTTTTCATTGGAAGATATTTCCTTTTTCACCATAGTTCAGAAAGCGCTCCAAATGTCCACTTCCAGATACTCCAAAAAGAGTGTTTCCAACCTGCTCTATGAATGGGAATGTTCCACTCTGTGACTTGAATGGAAATATGGCAAAGTATTTTCTGAGTAAGCTGCTGTGTACGTTTTATATTGCATCCCGTTTCCAACGAAATCCTCAAAGCGATCCAAATATCCACTTGCAGATTCCAAAAAAAGAGTGTTTCAAACTGCTCTGTCAGTACAAAGGTTCAACACTGTTAGTTGATTAGATGCATCATAAACAAGTTCCTGAGATAGCTTCTATGTCGTTTTTATGGGAAGATATTTCCTTTTTCACCATAGGCCTGAAAGCGCTCCAAATGTCCACTTCCAGATACTACAAAAAGAGTGTTTCCAACCTGCTCTATGAAACGGAAGGTTCAACTACTGTGACTTGATTGCAAACATCATGAAGGTGTTTCTGAGAATGTTTTCTGTCTAGATTTTCTTTGAAGACATTACCGTTTCCAACGAAATCCTCAAAGCTAGCCAAATATCCACCTGCAGATTCTACAAAAAGAGTGTTTCAAAAGTGCTCTGTCCAAACCAAGGTTCAATTCTGACAGTTGAGTGCACACATCACAAACGTGATTCTGCGAATGCTTCTGTCTAGTTTTTGTCGGAAGATATTTCCTTTTTCAGCATAGGCCCCAAGGAGCTCAAAATGTCCACTTCCAGATAGTACGAGAAGATTGTTTCAAACCTGCTCTGTGAAAGGGAATGTTCAACTCTGTGACTTGAATGTAAACATCCCTAAGATGTTTCTTAGAATGCTTCTGGCTAGATTTTATTTGAAGATATTCCCGTTTCCAACGAAATCCTCAAAGCTTTCCAAATATCCACTTCCAGATTCTATAAAAAGAATGTTTCAGAACAGTTCTGTCAAAAGAAAGGTTCAACTCTGTTAGTGGAGAACACACATCACAATCAAGGTTCTGAGAATGCTTCTCTCTAAATTTTCTATGAAGACATTCCCGTTTCCAACGAAATCCTCACAGCTATCCAAATATCCACTTGCAGATTCTACAAAAAGTGTGGTTCAAAACTGCTGTATCAAAAGAATGGATCAACACTGTTAGTTGAGTACCCACATCACAAACGTGATTCTCAGAATGCTTCTGTCTAGTTTCTATAGGTAGATATCTCCTTTTTCAGCATAGGCCTGAAAGCGCTCCAAATGCCCGCTTCCAGACACTATAAAAAGAGGGTTTCAAACCTACTCTATGAAAGGGAATGTTCAACTCTGAGAGCTGGATGCAAACATCACAAAGAAGTTTCTGAGAATGCTGCTGTCTACTTTTTATATATAATCCCGTTTCCAACGAAATCCTCAAATCTATCCAAATATCCACTTGCAGATTCCAAAAGAAGAGTGTCTCAAAACTGCTCTATCAATAGAAATGTTCAGCACAGTTAGTTGAGTAGATACAGCATAAACATGTTTCTGAGATTACTTCTATCTCGCATTCATGGGAAGATATTTCCTTTTTCCAGATAGGCTACAAAGCCCTCCAAATGTCCACTTCCAGATACTACAAAAAGAGTGTTTCCAACCTGCTCTATGAAACGGAAGGTTCAACTCTGTGACTTGATTGCAAACATCACGAAGGTGTTTCTGAGAATGCTTCTGTCTAGATTTTCTTTGAAGACATTACCGTTTCCAACGAAATCCTCAAAGCTAGCCAAATATCCACCTGCAGATTCTACAAAAAGAGTGTTTCAAAAGTGCTCTGTCCAAACCAAGGTTCAATTCTGACAGTTGAGTGCACACATCACAAACGTGATTCTGCGAATGCTTCTGTCTAGTTTTTGTCGGAAGATATTTCCTTTTTCAGCATAGGCCCCAAGGAGCTCAAAATGTCCACTGCCAGATAGTACGAGAAGATTGTTTCAAACCTGCTCTGTGAAAGGGAATGTTCAACTCTGTGACTTGAATGTAAACATCCCTAAGATGTTTCTTAGAATGCTTCTGGCTAGATTTGATTTGAAGATATTCCCGTTTCCAACGAAATCCTCAAAGCTTTCCAAATATCCACTTCCAGATTCTATAAAAAGAATGTTTCAGAACAGTTCTGTCAAAAGAAAGGTTCAACTCTGTTAGTGGAGAACACACATCACAATCAAGGTTCTGAGAATGCTTCTGTCTAAATTTTCTATGAAGACATTCCCGTTTCCAACGAAATCCTCACAGCTATCCAAATATCCACTTGCAGATTCTACAAAAAGTGTGGTTCAAAACTGCTGTATCAAAAGAATGGATCAACACTGTTAGTTGAGTACCCACATCACAAACGTGATTCTCAGAATGCTTCTGTCTAGTTTCTATAGGTAGATATTTCCTTTTTCAGCATAGGCCTGAAAGCGCTCCAAATGCCCGCTTCCAGACACTATAAAAAGAGGGTTTCAAACCTACTCTATGAAAGGGAATGTTCAACTCTGAGAGCTGGATGCAAACATCACAAAGAAGTTTCTGAGAATGCTGCTGTCTACTTTTTATATATAATCCCGTTTCCAACGAAATCCTCAAATCTATCCAAATATCCACTTGCAGATTCCAAAAGAAGAGTGTCTCAAAACTGCTCTATCAATAGAAATGTTCAGCACAGTTAGTTGAGTAGATACAGCATAAACATGTTTCTGAGATTACTTCTATCTCGCATTCATGGGAAGATATTTCCTTTTTCCAGATAGGCTACAAAGCCCTCCAAATGTCCACTTCCAGATACTACAAAAAGAGTGTTTCCAACCTGCTCTATGAAACGGAAGGTTCAACTCTGTGACTTGATTGCAAACATCACGACGCTGTTTCTGAGAATGCTTCTGTCTAGATTTTCTTTGAAGACATTACCGTTTCCAACGAAATCCTCAAAGCTAGCCAAATATCCACCTGCAGATTCTACAAAAAGAGTGTTTCAAAAGTGCTCTGTCCAAACCAAGGTTCAATTCTGACAGTTGAGTGCACACATCACAAACGTGATTCTGCGAATGCTTCTGTCTAGTTTTTGTCGGAAGATATTTCCTTTTTCAGCATAGGCCCCAAGGAGCTCAAAATGTCCACTGCCAGATAGTACGAGAAGATTGTTTCAAACCTGCTCTGTGAAAGGGAATGTTCAACTCTGTGACTTGAATGTAAACATCCCTAAGATGTTTCTTAGAATGCTTCTGGCTAGATTTTATTTGAAGATATTCCCGTTTCCAACGAAATCCTCAAAGCTTTCCAAATATCCACTTCCAGATTCTATAAAAAGAATGTTTCAGAACAGTTCTGTCAAAAGAAAGGTTCAACTCTGTTAGTGGAGAACACACATCACAATCAAGGTTCTGAGAATGCTTCTGTCTAAATTTTCTATGAAGACATTCCCGTTTCCAACGAAATCCTCACAGCTATCCAAATATCCACTTGCAGATTCTACAAAAAGTGTGGTTCAAAACTGCTGTATCAAAAGAATGGATCAACACTGTTAGTTGAGTACCCACATCACAAACGTGATTCTCAGAATGCTTCTGTCTAGTTTCTATAGGTAGATATTTCCTTTTTCAGCATAGGCCTGAAAGCGCTCCAAATGCCCGCTTCCAGACACTATAAAAAGAGGGTTTCAAACCTACTCTATGAAAGGGAATGTTCAACTGCTGAGAGCTGGATGCAAACATCACAAAGAAGTTTCTGAGAATGCTGCTGTCTACTTTTTATATATAATCCCGTTTCCAACGAAATCCTCAAATCTATCCAAATATCCACTTGCAGATTCCAAAAGAAGAGTGTCTCAAAACTGCCCTATCAATAGAAATGTTCAGCACAGTTAGTTGAGTAGATACAGCATAAACATGTTTCTGAGATTACTTCTATCTCGCATTCATGGGAAGATATTTCCTTTTTCCAGATAGGCTACAAAGCCCTCCAAATGTCCACTTCCAGATACTACAAATAGAGTGCTGCACAACTGCTCTATGTGAGGGGAAGTTCAATTCTGTGACTTGAATGCAGACACCACAAAGAAGTTTCTGAGAATGCTGCTGTCTAATTTTTACATGTAAGCCCGTTTCCAACGAAATCCTCAAAGCTATCCAAATATCCGCATGCAGAATCTTCAAAAAGAGTGTTCCAGAAGTACTGCATGAAACGAAAGGTTCAAGTCCGTTTGTTGAGGACACACATCACAAATAAGTTTCTCAGAATGCTTCTGTCTTGTTTTCATTGGAAGATATTTCCTTTTTCACCATAGTTCAGAAAGCGCTCCAAATGTCCACTTCCAGATACTCCAAAAAGAGTGTTTCCAACCTGCTCTATGAATGGGAATGTTCCACTCTCTGACTTGAATGGAAATATGGCAAAGTATTTTCTGAGTATGCTGCTGTGTACGTTTTATATTGCATCCCGTTTCCAACGAAATCCTCAAAGCGATCCAAATATCCACTTGCAGATTCCAAAAAAAGAGTGTTTCAAAGTGCTCTGTCAGTACAAAGGTTCAACACTGTTAGTTGATTAGATGCATCATAAACAAGTTCCTGAGATACCTTCTATGTCGTTTTTATGGGAAGATATTTCCTTTTTCACCATAGGCCTGAAAGCGCTCCAAATGTCCACTTCCAGATACTACAATAAGAGTGTTTCCAACCTGCTCTATGAAACGGAAGGTTCAACTCTGTGACTTGATTGCAAACATCACGAAGGTGTTTCTGAGAATGCTTCTGTCTAGATTTTCTTTGAAGACATTCCCGTTTCCAACGAAATCCTCACAGCTATCCAAATATCCTCTTGCAGATTCTACAAAAAGTGTGGTTCAAAACTGCTGTATCAAAAGAATGGATCAACACTGTTAGTTGAGTACCCACATCACAAACGTGATTCTCAGAATGCTTCTGTCTAGTTTCTGTACGTAGATATTTCCTATTTTAAGCATAGGCCTGAAAGCGCTCCAAATGCCCGCTTCCAGACACTATAAAAAGAGGGTTTCAAACCTACTCTATGAAAGGGAATGTTCAACTCTGAGAGCTGGATGCAAACATCACAAAGAAGTTTCTGAGAATGCTGCTGTCTACTTTTTATATATAATCCCGTTTCCAACGAAATCCTCAAATCTATCCAAATATCCACTTGCAGATTCCAAAAGAAGAGTGTCTCAAAACTGCTCTATCAATAGAAATGTTCAGCACAGTTAGTTGAGTAGATACAGCATAAACATGTTTCTGAGATTACTTCTATCTCGCATTCATGGGAAGATATTTCCTTTTTCCAGATAGGCTACAAAGCCCTCCAAATGTCCACTTCCAGATACTACAAAAAGAGTGTTTCCAACCTGCTCTATGAAACGGAAGGTTCAACTCTGTGACTTGATTGCAAACATCACGAAGGTGTTTCTGAGAATGCTTCCGTCTAGATTTTCTTTGAAGACATTACCGTTTCCAACGAAATCCTCAAAGCTAGCCAAATATCCACCAGCAGATTCTACAAAAAGAGTGTTTCAAAAGTGCTCTGTCCAAACCAAGGTTCAATTCTGACAGTTGAGTGCACACATCACAAACGTGATTCTGCGAATGCTTCTGTCTAGTTTTTGTCGGAAGATATTTCCTTTTTCAGCATAGGCCCCAAGGAGCTCAAAATGTCCACTGCCAGATAGTACGAGAAGATTGTTTCAAACCTGCTCTGTGAAAGGGAATGTTCAACTCTGTGACTTGAATGTAAACATCCCTAAGATGTTTCTTAGAATGCTTCTGGCTAGATTTTATTTGAAGATATTCTCGTTTCCAACGAAATCCTCAAAGCTTTCCAAATATCCACTTCCAGATTCTATAAAAAGAATGTTTCAGAACATTTCTGTCAAAAGAAAGGTTCAACTACTGTTAGTGGAGAACACACATCACAACCAAGGTTCTGAGAATGCTTCTGTCTAAATTTTCTATGAAGACATTCCCGTTTCCAACGAAATCCTCACAGCTATCCAAATATCCACTTGCAGATTCTACAAAAAGTGTGGTTCAAAACTGCTGTATCAAAAGAATGGATCAACACTGTTAGTTGAGTACCCACATCACAAACGTGATTCTCAGAATGCTTCTGTCTAGTTTCTATAGGTAGATATTTCCTTTTTCAGCATAGGCCTGAAAGCGCTCCAAATGCCCGCTTCCAGACACTATAAAAAGAGGGTTTCAAACCTACTCTATGAAAGGGAATGTTCAACTCTGAGAGCTGGATGCAAACATCACAAAGAAGTTTCTGAGAATGCTGCTGTCTACTTTTGATATATAATCCCGTTTCCAACGAAATCCTCAAATCTATCCAAATATCCACTTGCAGATTCCAAAAGAAGAGTGTCTCAAAACTGCTCTATCAATAGAAATGTTCAGCACAGTTAGTTGAGTAGATACAGCATAAACATGTTTCTGAGATTACTTCTATCTCGCATTCATGGGAAGATATTTCCTTTTTCCAGATAGGCTACAAAGCCCTCCAAATGTCCACTTCCAGATACTACAAAAAGAGTGTTTCCAACCTGCTCTATGAAACGGAAGGTTCAACTCTGTGACTTGATTGCAAACATCACGAAGGTGTTTCTGAGAATGCTTCTGTCTAGATTTTCTTTGAAGACATTACCGTTTCCAACGAAATCCTCAAAGCTAGCCAAATATCCACCTGCAGATTCTACAAAAAGAGTGTTTCAAAAGTGCTCTGTCCAAACCAAGGTTCAATTCTGACAGTTGAGTGCACACATCACAAACGTGATTCTGCGAATGCTTCTGTCTAGTTTTTGTCGGAAGATATTTCCTTTTTCAGCATAGGCCCCAAGGAGCTCAAAATGTCCACTGCCAGATAGTACGAGAAGATTGTTTCAAACCTGCTCTGTGAAAGGGAATGTTCAACTCTGTGACTTGAATGTAAACATCCCTAAGATGTTTCTTAGAATGCTTCTGGCTAGATTTGATTTGAAGATATTCCCGTTTCCAACGAAATCCTCAAAGCTTTCCAAATATCCACTTCCAGATTCTATAAAAAGAATGTTTCAGAACAGTTCTGTCAAAAGAAAGGTTCAACTCTGTTAGTGGAGAACACACATCACAATCAAGGTTCTGAGAATGCTTCTGTCTAAATTTTCTATGAAGACATTCCCGTTTCCAACGAAATCCTCACAGCTATCCAAATATCCACTTGCAGATTCTACAAAAAGTGTGGTTCAAAACTGCTGTATCAAAAGAATGGATCAACACTGTTAGTTGAGTACCCACATCACAAACGTGATTCTCAGAATGCTTCTGTCTAGTTTCTATAGGTAGATATTTCCTTTTTCAGCATAGGCCTGAAAGCGCTCCAAATGCCCGCTTCCAGACACTATAAAAAGAGGGTTTCAAACCTACTCTATGAAAGGGAATGTTCAACTCTGAGAGCTGGATGCAAACATCACAAAGAAGTTTCTGAGAATGCTGCTGTCTACTTTTTATATATAATCCCGTTTCCAACGAAATCCTCAAATCTATCCAAATATCCACTTGCAGATTCCAAAAGAAGAGTGTCTCAAAACTGCTCTATCAATAGAAATGTTCAGCACAGTTAGTTGAATAGATACAGCATAAACATGTTTCTGAGATTACTTCTATCTCGCATTCATGGGAAGATATTTCCTTTTTCCAGATAGGCTACAAAGCCCTCCAAATGTCCACTTCGAGATACTACAAATAGAGTGCTGCACAACTGCTCTATGTGAGGGGAAGTTCAATTCTGTGACTTGAATGCAGACACCACAAAGAAGTTTCTGAGAATGCTGCTGTCTAATTTTTACATGTAAGCCCGTTTCCAACGAAATCCTCAAAGCTATCCAAATATCCGCATGCAGAATCTTCAAAAAGAGTGTTCCAGAAGTACTGCATGAAACGAAAGGTTCAAGTCCGTTTGTTGAGGACACACATCACAAATAAGTTTCTCAGAATGCTTCTGTCTTGTTTTCATTGGAAGATATTTCCTTTTTCACCATAGTTCAGAAAGCGCTCCAAATGTCCACTTCCAGATACTCCAAAAAGACTGTTTCAAACCTGCTCTATGAATGGGAATGTTCCACTCTGTGACTTGAATGGAAATATGGCAAAGTATTTTCTGAGTATGCTGCTGTGTACGTTTTATATTGCATCCCGTTTCCAACGAAATCCTCAAAGCGATCCAAATATCCACTTGCAGATTCCAAAAAAAAGAGTGTTTCAAACGGCTCTGTCAGTACAAAGGTTCAACACTGTTAGTTGATTAGATGCGTCATAAACAAGTTCCTGAGATAGATTCTATGTCGTTTTTATGGGAAGATATTTCCTTTTTCACCATAGGCCTGAAAGCGCTCCAAATGTCCACTTCCAGATACTACAAAAAGAGTGTTTCCAACCTGCTCTATGAAACGGAAGGTTCAACTCTGTGACTTGATTGCAAACATCACGAAGGTGTTTCTGAGAATGTTTCTGTCTAGATTTTCTTTGAAGACATTTCCGTTTCCAACGAAATCCTCAAAGCTAGCCAAATATCCACCTGCAGATTCTACAAAAAGAGTGTTTCAAAAGTGCTCTGTCCAAACCAAGGTTCAATTCTGACAGTTGAGTGCACACATCACAAACGTGATTCTGCGAATGCTTCTATCTAGTTTTTGTCGGAAGATATTTCCTTTTTCAGCATAGGCCCCAAGGAGCTCAAAATGTCCACTTCCAGATAGTACGAGAAGATTGTTTCAAACCTGTTCTGCGAAAGGGAATGTTCCACTCTGTGACTTGAATGTAAACATCCCTAATATGTTTCTTAGAATGCTTCTGGCTAGATTTTATTTGAAGATATTCCCGTTTCCAACGAAATCCTCAAATCTTTCCAAATATCCACTTCCAGATTCTATAAAAAGAATGTTTCAGAACAGTTCTGTCAAAAGAAAGGTTCAACTCTGTTAGTGGAGAACACACATCACAATCAAGGTTCTGAGAATGCTTCTGTCTAAATTTTCGATGAAGACATTCCCGTTTCCAACGAAATCCTCACAGCTATCCAAATATCCACTTGCAGATTCTACAAAAAGTGTGGTTCAAAACTGCTGTATCAAAAGAATGGATCAACACTGTTAGTTGAGTACCCACATCACAAACGTGATTCTCAGAATGCTTCTGTCTAGTTTCTGTAGGTAGATATTTCCTTTTTCAGCATAGGCCTGAAAGCGCTCCAAATGCCCGCTTCCAGACACTATAAAAAGAGGGTTTCAAACCTACTCTATGAAAGGGAATGTTCAACTCTGAGAGCTGGATGCAAACATCACAAAGAAGTTTCTGAGAATGCTGCTGTCTACTTTTGATATATAATCCCGTTTCCAACGAAATCCTCAAATCTATCCAAATATCCACTTGCAGATTCCAAAAGAAGAGTGTCTCAAAACTGCTCTATCAATAGAAATGCTCAGCACAGTTAGTTGAGTAGATACAGCATAAACATGTTTCTGAGATTACTTCTATCTCGCATTCATGGGAAGATATTTCCTTTTTCCAGATAGGCTACAAAGCCCTCCAAATGTCCACTTCCAGATACTACAAAAAGAGTGTTTCCAACCTGCTCTATGAAACGGAAGGTTCAACTCTGTGACTTGATTGCAAACATCACGAAGGTGTTTCTGAGAATGCTTCTGTCTAGATTTTCTTTGAAGACATTACCGTTTGCAACGAAATCCTCAAAGCTAGCCAAATATCCACCTGCAGATTCTACAAAAAGAGTGTTTCAAAAGTGCTCTGTCCAAACCAAGGTTCAATTCTGACAGTTGAGTGCACACATCACAAACGTGATTCTGCGAATGCTTCTGTCTAGTTTTTGTCGGAAGATATTTCCTTTTTCAGCATAGGCCCCAAGGAGCTCAAAATGTCCACTGCCAGATAGTACGAGAAGATTGTTTCAAACCTGCTCTGTGAAAGGGAATGTTCAACTCTGTGACTTGAATGTAAACATCCCTAAGATGTTTCTTAGAATGCTTCTGGCTAGATTTGATTGGAAGATATTCCCGTTTCCAACGAAATCCTCAAAGCTTTCCAAATATCCACTTCCAGATTCTATAAAAAGAATGTTTCAGAACAGTTCTGTCAAAAGAAAGGTTCAACTCTGTTAGTGGAGAACACACATCACAATCAAGGTTCTGAGAATGCTTCTGTCTAAATTTTCTATGAAGACATTCCCGTTTCCAACGAAATCCTCACAGCTATCCAAATATCCACTTGCAGATTC
Organism: Homo sapiens; assembly: GCF_000001405.40. Taxonomy (NCBI): domain Eukaryota; kingdom Metazoa; phylum Chordata; class Mammalia; order Primates; family Hominidae; genus Homo; species Homo sapiens. Next base: position 45,251,003 of record NC_000008.11, on the reverse strand, counting down.
TACAAAAAGTGTGGTTCAAAACTGCTGTATCAAAAGAATGGATCAACACTGTTAGTTGAGTACCCACATCACAAACGTGATTCTCAGAATGCTTCTGTCTAGTTTCTATAGGTAGATATTTCCTTTTTCAGCATAGGCCTGAAAGCGCTCCAAATGCCCGCTTCCAGACACTATAAAAAGAGGGTTTCAAACCTACTCTATGAAAGGGAATGTTCAACTCTGAGAGCTGGATGCAAACATCACAAAGAAGTTTCTGAGAATGCTGCTGTCTGCTTTTGATATATAATCCCGTTTCCAACGAAATCCTCAAATCTATCCAAATATCCACTTGCAGATTCCAAAAGAAGAGTGTCTCAAAACTGCTCTATCAATAGAAATGTTCAGCACAGTTAGTTGAGTAGATACAGCATAAACATGTTTCTGAGATTACTTCTATCTCGCATTCATGGGAAGATATTTCCTTTTTCCAGATAGGCTACAAAGCCCTCCAAATGTCCACTTCCAGATACTACAAATAGAGTGCTGCACAACTGCTCTATGTGAGGGGAAGTTCAATTCTGTGACTTGAATGCAGACACCACAAAGAAGTTTCTGAGAATGCTGCTGTCTAATTTTTACATGTAAGCCCGTTTCCAACGAAATCCTCAAAGCTATCCAAATATCCGCATGCAGAATCTTCAAAAAGAGTGTTCCAGAAGTACTGCATGAAACGAAAGGTTCAAGTCCGTTTGTTGAGGACACACATCACAAATAAGTTTCTCAGAATGCTTCTGTCTTGTTTTCATTGGAAGATATTTCCTTTTTCACCATAGTTCAGAAAGCGCTCCAAATGTCCACTTCCAGATACTCCAAAAAGAGTGTTTCAAACCTGCTCTATGAATGGGAATGTTCCACTCTGTGACTTGAATGGAAATATGGCAAAGTATTTTCTGAGTATGCTGCTGTGTACGTTTTATATTGCATCCCGTTTCCAACGAAATCCTCAAAGCGATCCAAATATCCACTTGCAGATTCCAAAAAAAGAGTGTTTCAAACTGCTCTGTCAGTACAAAGGTTCAACACTGTTAGTTGATTAGATGCATCATAAACAAGTTCCTGAGATAGCTTCTATGTCGTTTTTATGGGAAGATATTTCCTTTTTCACCATAGGCCTGAAAGCGCTCCAAATGTCCACTTCCAGATACTACAAAAAGAGTGTTTCCAACCTGCTCTATGAAACGGAAGGTTCAACTCTGTGACTTGATTGCAAACATCACGAAGGTGTTTCTGAGAATGTTTCTGTCTAGATTTTCTTTGAAGACATTACCGTTTCCAACGAAATCCTCAAAGCTAGCCAAATATCCACCTGCAGATTCTACAAAAAGAGTGTTTCAAAAGTGCTCTGTCCAAACCAAGGTTCAATTCTGACAGTTGGGTGCACACATCACAAACGTGATTCTGCGAATGCTTCTGTCTAGTTTTTGTCGGAAGATATTTCCTTTTTCAGCATAGGCCCCAAGGAGCTCAAAATGTCCACTGCCAGATAGTACGAGAAGATTGTTTCAAACCTGCTCTGTGAAAGGGAATGTTCAACTCTGTGACTTGAATGTAAACATCCCTAAGATGTTTCTTAGAATGCTTCTGGCTAGATTTGATTTGAAGATATTCCCGTTTCCAACGAAATCCTCAAAGCTTTCCAAATATCCACTTCCAGATTCTATAAAAAGAATGTTTCAGAACAGTTCTGTCAAAAGAAAGGTTCAACTCTGTTAGTGGAGAACACACATCACAATCAAGGTTCTGAGAATGCTTCTGTCTAAATTTTCTATGAAGACATTCCCGTTTCCAACGAAATCCTCACAGCTATCCAAATATCCACTTGCAGATTCTACAAAAAGTGTGGTTCAAAACTGCTGTATCAAAAGAATGGATCAACACTGTTAGTTGAGTACCCACATCACAAACGTGATTCTCAGAATGCTTCTGTCTAGTTTCTATAGGTAGATATTTCCTTTTTCAGCATAGGCCTGAAAGCGCTCCAAATGCCCGCTTCCAGACACTATAAAAAGAGGGTTTCAAACCTACTCTATGAAAGGGAATGTTCAACTCTGAGAGCTGGATGCAAACATCACAAAGAAGTTTCTGAGAATGCTGCTGTCTACTTTTTATATATAATCCCGTTTCCAACGAAATCCTCAAATCTATCCAAATATCCACTTGCAGATTCCAAAAGAAGAGTGTCTCAAAACTGCTCTATCAATAGAAATGTTCAGCACAGTTAGTTGAGTAGATACAGCATAAACATGTTTCTGAGATTACTTCTATCTCGCATTCATGGGAAGATATTTCCTTTTTCCAGATAGGCTACAAAGCCCTCCAAATGTCCACTTCCAGATACTACAAAAAGAGTGTTTCCAACCTGCTCTATGAAACGGAAGGTTCAACTCTGTGACTTGATTGCAAACATCACGAAGGTGTTTCTGAGAATGCTTCTGTCTAGATTTTCTTTGAAGACATTACCGTTTCCAACGAAATCCTCAAAGGTAGCCAAATATCCACCTGCAGATTCTACAAAAAGAGTGTTTCAAAAGTGCTCTGTCCAAACCAAGGTTCAATTCTGACAGTTGAGTGCACACATCACAAACGTGATTCTGCGAATGCTTCTGTCTAGTTTTTGTCGGAAGATATTTCCTTTTTCAGCATAGGCCCCAAGGAGCTCAAAATGTCCACTGCCAGATAGTACGAGAAGATTGTTTCAAACCTGCTCTGTGAAAGGGAATGTTCAACTCTGTGACTTGAATGTAAACATCCCTAAGATGTTTCTTAGAATGCTTCTGGCTAGATTTTATTTGAAGATATTCCCGTTTCCAACGAAATCCTCAAAGCTTTCCAAATATCCACTTCCAGATTCTATAAAAAGAATGTTTCAGAACAGTTCTGTCAAAAGAAAGGTTCAACTCTGTTAGTGGAGAACACACATCACAATCAAGGTTCTGAGAATGCTTCTGTCTAAATTTTCTATGAAGACATTCCCGTTTCCAACGAAATCCTCACAGCTATCCAAATATCCACTTGCAGATTCTACAAAAAGTGTGGTTCAAAACTGCTGTATCAAAAGAATGGATCAACACTGTTAGTTGAGTACCCACATCACAAACGTGATTCTCAGAATGCTTCTGTCTAGTTTCTATAGGTAGATATTTCCTTTTTCAGCATAGGCCTGAAAGCGCTCCAAATGCCCGCTTCCAGACACTATAAAAAGAGGGTTTCAAACCTACTCTATGAAAGGGAATGTTCAACTCTGAGAGCTGGATGCAAACATCACAAAGAAGTTTCTGAGAATGCTGCTGTCTACTTTTTATATATAATCCCGTTTCAAAGGAAATCCTCAAATCTATCCAAATATCCACTTGCAGATTCCAAAAGAAGAGTGTCTCAAAACTGCTCTATCAATAGAAATGTTCAGCACAGTTAGTTGAGTAGATACAGCATAAACATGTTTCTGAGATTACTTCTATCTCGCATTCATGGGAAGATATTTCCTTTTTCCAGATAGGCTACAAAGCCCTCCAAATGTCCACTTCCAGATACTACAAATAGAGTGCTGCACAACTGCTCTATGTGAGGGGAAGTTCAATTCTGTGACTTGAATGCAGACACCACAAAGAAGTTTCTGAGAATGCTGCTGTCTAATTTTTACATGTAAGCCCGTTTCCAACGAAATCCTCAAAGCTATCCAAATATCCGCATGCAGAATCTTCAAAAAGAGTGTTCCAGAAGTACTGCATGAAACGAAAGGTTCAAGTCCGTTTGTTGAGGACACACATCACAAATAAGTTTCTCAGAATGCTTCTGTCTTGTTTTCATTGGAAGATATTTCCTTTTTCACCATAGTTCAGAAAGCGCTCCAAATGTCCACTTCCAGATACTCCAAAAAGAGTGTTTCCAACCTGCTCTATGAATGGGAATGTTCCACTCTGTGACTTGAATGGAAATATGGCAAAGTATTTTCTGAGTATGCTGCTGTGTACGTTTTATATTGCATCCCGTTTCCAACGAAATCCTCAAAGCGATCCAAATATCCACTTGCAGATTCCAAAAAAAGAGTGTTTCAAACTGCTCTGTCAGTACAAAGGTTCAACACTGTTAGTTGATTAGATGCATCATAAACAAGTTCCTGAGATAGCTTCTATGTCGTTTTTATGGGAAGATATTTCCTTTTTCACCATAGGCCTGAAAGCGCTCCAAATGTCCACTTCCAGATACTACAAAAAGAGTGTTTCCAACCTGCTCTATGAAACGGAAGGTTCAACTCTGTGACTTGATTGCAAACATCACGAAGGTGTTTCTGAGAATGCTTCTGTCTAGATTTTCTTTGAAGACATTCCCGTTTCCAACGAAATCCTCAAAGCTAGCCAAATATCCACCTGCAGATTCTACAAAAAGAGTGTTTCAAAAGTGCTCTGTCCAAACCAAGGTTCAATTCTGACAGTTGAGTGCACACATCACAAACGTGATTCTGCGAATGCTTCTGTCTAGTTTTTGTCGGAAGATATTTCCTTTTTCAGCATAGGCCCCAAGGAGCTCAAAATGTCCACTGCCAGATAGTACGAGAAGATTGTTTCAAACCTGCTCTGTGAAAGGGAATGTTCAACTCTGTGACTTGAATGTAAACATCCCTAAGATGTTTCTTAGAATGCTTCTGGCTAGATTTGATTTGAAGATATTCCCGTTTCCAACGAAATCCTCAAGGCTTTCCAAATATCCACTTCCAGATTCTATAAAAAGAATGTTTCAGAACAGTTCTGTCAAAAGAAAGGTTCAACTCTGTTAGTGGAGAACACACATCACAATCAAGGTTCTGAGAATGCTTCTGTCTAAATTTTCTATGAAGGCATTCCCGTTTCCAAGGAAATCCTCACAGCTATCCAAATATCCACTTGCAGATTCTACAAAAAGTGTGGTTCAAATCTGCTGTATCAAAAGAATGGATCAACACTGTTAGTTGAGTACCCACATCACAAACGTGATTCTCAGAATGCTTCTGTCTAGTTTCTATAGGTAGATATTTCCTTTTTCAGCATAGGCCTGAAAGCGCTCCAAATGCCCGCTTCCAGACACTATAAAAAGAGGGTTTCAAACCTACTCTACGAAAGGGAATGTTCAACTCTGAGAGCTGGATGCAAACATCACAAAGAAGTTTCTGAGAATGCGGCTGTCTACTTTTTATATATAATCCCGTTTCCAAGGGAAATCCTCAAATCTATCCAAATATCCACTTGCAGATTCCAAAAGAAGAGTGTCTCAAAACTGCTCTATCAATAGAAATGTTCAGCACAGTTAGTTGAGTACATACAGCATAAACATGTTTCTGAGATTACTTCTATCTCGCATTCATGGGAAGATATTTCCTTTTTCCAGATAGGCTACAAAGCCCTCCAAATGTCCACTTCGAGATACTACAAATAGAGTGCTGCACAACTGCTCTATGTGAGGGGATGTTCAATTCTGTGACTTGAATGCAGACACCACAAAGAAGTTTCTGAGAATGCTGCTGTCTAATTTTTATATGTAAGCCCGTTTCCAACGAAATCCTCAAAGCTATCCAAATATCCGCATGCAGAATCTTCAAAAAGAGTGTTCCAGAAGTACTGCATGAAACGAAAGGTTCAAGTCCGTTAGTTGAGGACACACATCACAAATAAGTTTCTCAGAATGCTTCTGTCTTGTTTTCATTGGAAGATATTTCCTTTTTCACCATAGTTCAGAAAGCGCTCCAAATGTCCACTTCCAGATACTACAAAAAGAGTGTGTCAAACCTGCTCTATGAATGGGAATGTTCCACTCTGTGACTTGAATGGAAATATGGCAAAGTATTTTCTGAGTATGCTGCTGTGTACGTTTTATATTGCATCCCGTTTCCAACGAAATCCTCAAAGCGATCCAAATATCCACTTGCAGATTCCAAAAAAAAGAGTGTTTCACACTGCTCTGTCAGTACAAAGGTTCAACACTGTTAGTTGATTGGATGCATCATAAACAAGTTCCTGAGATAGCTTCTATGTCGTTTTTATGGGAAGATATTTCCTTTTTCACCATAGGCCTGAAAGCACTCCAAATGTCCACTTCCAGATACTACAAAAAGAGTGTTTCCAACCTGCTCTATGAAACGGAAGGTTCAACTCTGTGACTTGATTGCAAACATCACGAAGGTGTTTCTGAGAATGCTTCTGTCTAGATTTTCTTTGAAGACATTACCGTTTCCAACGAAATCCTCAAAGCTAGCCAAATATCCACCTGCAGATTTTACAAAAAGAGTGTTTCAAGAGTGCAATCTCCAAACCAAGGTTCAATTCTGACAGTTGAGTGCACACATCACAAACGTGATTCTGCGAATGCTTCTGTCTAGTTTTTGTCGGAAGATATTTCCTTTTTCAGCATAGGCCCCAAGGAGCTCAAAATGTCCACTGCCAGATAGTACGAGAAGATTGTTTCAAACCTGCTCTGTGAAAGGGAATGTTCAACTCTGTGACTTGAATGTAAACATCCCTAAGCTGTTTCTTAGAATGCTTCTGGCTAGATTTGATTTGAAGATATTCCCGTTTCCAACGAAATCCTCAAAGCTTTCCAAATATCCACTTCCAGATTCTATAAAAAGAATGTTTCAGAACAGTTCTGTCAAAAGAAAGTTTCAACTCTGTTAGTGGAGAACACACATCACAATCAAGGTTCTGAGAATGCTTCTGTCTAAATTTTCTATGAAGACATTCCCGTTTCCAACGAAATCCTCACAGCTATCCAAATATCCACTTGCAGATTCTACAAAAAGTGTGGTTCAAAACTGCTGTATCAAAAGAATGGATCAACACTGTTAGTTGAGTACCCACATCAGAAACGTGATTCTCAGAATGCTTCTGTCTAGTTTCTATAGGTAGATATTTCCTTTTTCAGCATAGGCCTGAAAGCGCTCCAAATGCCCGCTTCCAGACACTATAAAAAGAGGGTTTCAAACCTACTCTATGAAAGGGAATGTTCAACTCTGAGAGCTGGATGCAAACATCACAAAGAAGTTTCTGAGAATGCTGCTGTCTACTTTTTATATATAATCCCGTTTCCAACGAAATCCTCAAATCTATCCAAATATCCACTTGCAGATTCCAAAAGAAGAGTGTCTCAAAACTGCTCTATCAATAGAAATGTTCAGCACAGTTAGTTGAGTAGATACAGCATAAACATGTTTCTGAGATTACTTCTATCTCGCATTCATGGGAAGATATTTCCTTTTTCCAGATAGGCTACAAAGCCCTCCAAATGTCCACTTCCAGATACTACAAAAAGAGTGTTTCCAACCTGCTCTATGAAACGGAAGGTTCAACTCTGTGACTTGATTGCAAACATCACGAAGGTGTTTCTGAGAATGCTTCTGTGTAGATTTTCTTTGAAGTCATTACCGTTTCCAACGAAATCCTCAAAGCTAGCCAAATATCCACCTGCAGATTCTACAAAAAGAGTGTTTCAAAAGTGCTCTGTCCAAACCAAGGTTCAATTCTGACAGTTGAGTGCACACATCACAAACGTGATTCTGCGAATGCTTCTGTCTAGTTTTTGTCGGAAGATATTTCCTTTTTCAGCATAGGCCCCAAGGAGCTCAAAATGTCCACTGCCAGATAGTACGAGAAGATTGTTTCAAACCTGCTCTGTGAAAGGGAATGTTCAACTCTGTGACTTGAATGTAAACATCCCTAAGATGTTTCTTAGAATGCTTCTGGCTAGATTTGATTTGAAGATATTCCCGTTTCCAACGAAATCCTCAAAGCTTTCCAAATATCCACTTCCAGATTCTATAACAAGAATGTTTCAGAACAGTTCTGTCAAAAGAAAGGTTCAACTCTGTTAGTGGAGAACACACTTCACAATCAAGGTTCTGAGAATGCTTCCTGTCTAAATTTTCTATGAAGACATTCCCGTTTCCAACGAAATCCTCACAGCTATCCAAGTATCCACTTGCAGATTCTACAAAAAGTGTGGTTCAAAACTGCTGTATCAAAAGAATGGATCAACACTGTTAGTTGAGTACCCACATCACCAACGTGATTCTCAGAATGCTTCTGTCTAGTTTCTGTAGGTAGATATTTCCTATTTTAAGCATAGGCCTGAAAGCGCTCCAAATGCCCGCTTCCAGACACTATAAAAAGAGGGTTTCAAACCTACTCTATGAAAGGGAATGTTCAACTCTGAGAGCTGGATGCAAACATCACAAAGAAGTTTCTGAGAATGCTGCTGTCTACTTTTTATATATAATCCCGTTTCCAACGAAATCCTCAAATCTATCCAAATATCCACTTGCAGATTCCAAAAGAAGAGTGTCTCAAAACTGCTCTATCAATAGAAATGTTCAGCACAGTTAGTTGAGTAGATACAGCATAAACATGTTTCTCAGATTACTTCTATCTCGCATTCATGGGAAGATATTTCCTTTTTCCAGATAGGCTACAAAGCCCTCCAAATGTCCACTTCCAGATACTACAAATAGAGTGCTGCACAACTGCTCTATGTGAGGGGAAGTTCAATTCTGTGACTTGAATGCAGACACCACAAAGAAGTTTCTGAGAATGCTGCTGTCTAATTTTTACATGTAAGCCCGTTTCCAACGAAATCCTCAAAGCTATCCAAATATCCGCATGCAGAATCTTCAAAAAGAGTGTTCCAGAAGTACTGCATGAAACGAAAGGTTCAAGTCCGTTTGTTGAGGACACACATCACAAATAAGTTTCTCAGAATGCTTCTGTCTTGTTTTCATTGGAAGATATTTCCTTTTTCACCATAGTTCAGAAAGCGCTCCAAATGTCCACTTCCAGATACTCCAAAAAGAGTGTTTCCAACCTGCTCTATGAATGGGAATGTTCCACTCTGTGACTTGAATGGAAATATGGCAAAGTATTTTCTGAGTATGCTGCTGTGTACGTTTTATATTGCATCCCGTTTCCAACGAAATCCTCAAAGCGATCCAAATATCCACTTGTAGATTCCAAAAAAAGAGTGTTTCAAACTGCTCTGTCAGTACAAAGGTTCAACACTGTTAGTTGATTAGATGCATCATAAACAAGTTCCTGAGATAGCTTCTATGTCGTTTTTATGGGAAGATATTTCCTTTTTCACCATAGGCCTGAAAGCGCTCCAAATGTCCACTTCCAGATACTACAATAAGAGTGTTTCCAACCTGCTCTATGAAACGGAAGGTTCAACTCTGTGACTTGATTGCAAACATCACGAAGGTGTTTCTGAGAATGCTTCTGTCTAGATTTTCTTTGAAGACATTCCCGTTTCCAACGAAATCCTCACAGCTATCCAAATATCCTCTTGCAGATTCTACAAAAAGTGTGGTTCAAAACTGCTGTATCAAAAGAATGGATCAACACTGTTAGTTGAGTACCCACATCACAAACGTGATTCTCAGAATGCTTCTGTCTAGTTTCTGTAGGTAGATATTTCCTATTTTAAGCATAGGCCTGAAAGCGCTCCAAATGCCCGCTTCCAGACACTATAAAAAGAGGGTTTCAAACCTACTCTATGAAAGGGAATGTTCAACTCTGAGAGCTGGATGCAAACATCACAAAGAAGTTTCTGAGAATGCTGCTGTCTACTTTTTATATATAATCCCGTTTCCAACGAAATCCTCAAATCTATCCAAATATCCACTTGCAGATTCCAAAAGAAGAGTGTCTCAAAACTGCTCTATCAATAGAAATGTTCAGCACAGTTAGTTGAGTAGATACAGCATAAACATCTTTCTGAGATTACTTCTATCTCGCATTCATGGGAAGATATTTCCTTTTTCCAGATAGGCTACAAAGCCCTCCAAATGTCCACTTCCAGATACTACAAATAGAGTGCTGCACAACTGCTCTATGTGAGGGGATGTTCAATTCTGTGACTTGAATGCAGACACCACAAAGAAGTTTCTGAGAATGCTGCTGTCTAATTTTTACATGTAAGCCCGTTTCCAACGAAATCCTCAAAGCTATCCAAATATCCGCATGCAGAATCTTCAAAAAGAGTGTTCCAGAAGTACTGCATGAAACGAAAGGTTCAAGTCCGTTTGTTGAGGACACACATCACAAATAAGTTTTTCAGAATGCTTCTGTCTTGTTTTCATTGGAAGATATTTCCTTTTTCACCATAGTTCAGAAAGCGCTCCAAATGTCCACTTCCAGATACTCCAAAAAGAGTGTTTCCAACCTGCTCTATGAATGGGAATGTTCCACTCTGTGACTTGAATGGAAATATGGCAAAGTATTTTCTGAGTATGCTGCTGTGTACGTTTTATATTGCATCCCGTTTCCAACGAAATCCTCAAAGCGATCCAAATATCCACTTGCAGATTCCAAAAAAAGAGTGTTTCAAACTGCTCTGTCAGTACAAAGGTTCAACACTGTTAGTTGATTAGATGCATCATAAACAAGTTCCTGAGATAGCTTCTATGTCGTTTTTATGGGAAGATATTTCCTTTTTCACCATAGGCCTGAAAGCGCTCCAAATGTCCACTTCCAGATACTACAATAAGAGTGTTTCCAACCTGCTCTATGAAACGGAAGGTTCAACTCTGTGACTTGATTGCAAACATCACGAAGGTGTTTCTGAGAATGCTTCTGTCTAGATTTTCTTTGAAGACATTCCCGTTTCCAACGAAATCCTCACAGCTATCCAAATATCCTCTTGCAGATTCTACAAAAAGTGTGGTTCAAAACTGCTGTATCAAAAGAATGGATCAACACTGTTAGTTGAGTACCCACATCACAAACGTGATTCTCAGAATGCTTCTGTCTAGTTTCTGTAGGTAGATATTTCCTATTTTAAGCATAGGCCTGAAAGCGCTCCAAATGCCCGCTTCCAGACACTATAAAAAGAGGGTTTCAAACCTACTCTATGAAAGGGAATGTTCAACTCTGAGAGCTGGATGCAAACATCACAAAGAAGTTTCTGAGAATGCTGCTGTCTACTTTTTATATATAATCCCGTTTCCAACGAAATCCTCAAATCTATCCAAATATCCACTTGCAGATTCCAAAAGAAGAGTGTCTCAAAACTGCTCTATCAATAGAAATGTTCAGCACAGTTAGTTGATTAGATACAGCATAAACATGTTTGCTGAGATTACTTCTATCTCGCATTCATGGGAAGATATTTCCTTTTTCCAGATAGGCTACAAAGCCCTCCAAATGTCCACTTCCAGATACTACAAATAGAGTGCTGCACAACTGCTCTATGTGAGGGGGAAGTTCAATTCTGTGACTTGAATGCAGACACCACAAAGAAGTTTCTGAGAATGCTGCTGTCTATTTTTACATGTAAGCCCGTTTCCAACGAAATCCTCAAAGCTATCCAAATATCCGCATGCAGAATCTTCAAAAAGAGTGTTCCAGAAGTACTGCATGAAACGAAAGGTTCAAGTCCGTTTGTTGAGGACACACATCACAAATAAGTTTCTCAGAATGCTTCTGTCTTGTTTTCATTGGAAGATATTTCCTTTTTCACCATAGTTCAGAAAGCGCTCCAAATGTCCACTTCCAGATACTCCAAAAAGAGTGTTTCCAACCTGCTCTATGAATGGGAATGTTCCACTCTGTGACTTGAATGGAAATATGGCAAAGAATTTTCTGAGTATGCTGCTGTGTACGTTTTATATTGCATCCCGTTTCCAACGAAATCCTCAAAGCGATCCAAATATCCACTTGCAGATTCCAAAAAAAGAGTGTTTCAAACTGCTCTGTCAGTACAAAGGTTCAACACTGTTAGTTGATTAGATGCCTCATAAACAAGTTCCTGAGATAGCTTCTATGTCGTTTTTATGGGAAGATATTTCCTTTTTCACCATAGGCCTGAAAGCGCTCCAAATGTCCACTTCCAGATACTACAATAAGAGTGTTTCCAACCTGCTCTATGAAACGGAAGGTTCAACTCTGTGACTTGATTGCAAACATCACGAAGGTGTTTCTGAGAATGTTTCTGTCTAGATTTTCTTTGAAGACATTACCGTTTCCAACGAAATCCTCAAAGCTAGCCAAATATCCACCTGCAGATTCCACAAAAAGAGTGTTTCAAAAGTGCTCTGTCCAAACCAAGGTTCAATTCTGACAGTTGAGTGCACACATCACAAACGTGATTCTGCGAATGCTTCTGTCTAGTTTTTGTCGGAAGATATTTCCTTTTTCAGCATAGGCCCCAAGGAGCTCAAAATGTCCACTGCCAGATAGTACGAGAAGATTGTTTCAAACCTGCTCTGTGAAAGGGAATGTTCAACTCTGTGACTTGAATGTAAACATCCCTAAGATGTTTCTTAGAATGCTTCTGGCTAGATTTGATTTGAAGATATTCCCGTTTCCAACGAAATCCTCAAAGCTTTCCAAATATCCACTTCCAGATTCTATAAAAAGAATGTTTCAGAACAGTTCTGTCAAAAGAAAGTTTCAACTCTGTTAGTGGAGAACACACATCACAATCAAGGTTCTGAGAATGCTTCTGTCTAAATTTTCTATGAAGACATTCCCGTTTCCAACGAAATCCTCACAGCTATCCAAATATCCACTTGCAGATTCTACAAAAAGTGTGGTTCAAAACTGCTGTATCAAAAGAATGGATCAACACTGTTAGTTGAGTACCCACATCACAAACGTGATTCTCAGAATGCTTCTGTCTAGTTTCTATAGGTAGATATTTCCTTTTTCAGCATAGGCCTGAAAGCGCTCCAAATGCCCGCTTCCAGACACTATAAAAAGAGGGTTTCAAACCTACTCTATGAAAGGGAATGTTCAACTCTGAGAGCTGGATGCAAACATCACAAAGAAGTTTCTGAGAATGCTGCTGTCTACTTTTTATATATAATCCCGTTTCCAACGAAATCCTCAAATCTCTCCAAATATCCACTTGCAGATTCCAAAAGAAGAGTGTCTCAAAACTGCTCTATCAATAGAAATGTTCAGCACAGTTAGTTGAGTAGATACAGCATAAACATGTTTCTGAGATTACTTCTATCTCGCATTCATGGGAAGATATTTCCTTTTTCCACATAGGCTACAAAGCCCTCCAAATGTCCACTTCCAGATACTACAAAAAGAGTGTTTCCAACCTGCTCTATGAAACGGAAGGTTCAACTCTGTGACTTGATTGCAAACATCACGAAGGTGTTTCTGAGAATGCTTCTGTCTAGATTTTCTTTGAAGACATTACCGTTTCCAACGAAATCCTCAAAGCTAGCCAAATATCCACCTGCAGATTCTACAAAAAGAGTGTTTCAAAAGTGCTCTGTCCAAACCAAGGTTCAATTCTGACAGTTGAGTGCACACATCACAAACGTGATTCTGCGAATGCTTCTGTCTAGTTTTTGTCGGAAGATATTTCCTTTTTCAGCATAGGCCGCAAGGAGCTCAAAATGTCCACTGCCAGATAGTACGAGAAGATTGTTTCAAACCTGCTCTGAGAAAGGGGAATGTTCAACTCTGTGACTTGAATGTAAACATCCCTAAGATGTTTCTTAGAATGCTTCTGGCTAGATTTGATTTGAAGATATTCCCGTTTCCAACGAAATCCTCAAAGCTTTCCAAATATCCACTTCCAGATTCTATAAAAAGAATGTTTCAGAACAGTTCTGTCAAAAGAAAGGTTCAACTGCTGTTAGTGGAGAACACACATCACAATCAAGGTTCTGAGAATGCTTCTGTCTAAATTTTCTATGAAGACATTCCCGTTTCCAACGAAATCCTCACAGCTATCCAAATATCCACTTGCAGATTCTACAAAAAGTGTGGTTCAAAACTGCTGTATCAAAAGAATGGATCAACACTGTTAGTTGAGTACCCACATCACAAACGTGATTCTCAGAATGCTTCTGTCTACTTTCTATAGGTAGATATTTCCTTTTTCAGCATAGGCCTGAAAGCGCTCCAAATGCCCGCTTCCAGACACTATAAAAAGAGGGTTTCAAACCTACTCTACGAAAGGGAATGTTCAACTCTGAGAGCTGGATGCAAACATCACAAAGAAGTTTCTGAGAATGCTGCTGTCTACTTTTGATATATAATCCCGTTTCCAACGAAATCCTCAAATCTATCCAAATATCCACTTGCAGATTCCAAAAGAAGAGTGTCTCAAAACTGCTCTATCAATAGAAATGTTCAGCACAGTTAGTTGAGTAGATACAGCATAAACATGTTTCTGAGATTACTTCTATCTCGCATTCATGGGAAGATATTTCCTTTTTCCAGATAGGCTTCAAAGCCCTCCAAATGTCCACTTCGAGATACTACAAATAGAGTGCTGCACAACTGCTCTATGTGAGGGGATGTTCAATTCTGTGACTTGAATGCAGACACCACAAAGAAGTTTCTGAGAATGCTGCTGTCTAATTTTTACATGTAAGCCCGTTTCCAACGAAATCCTCAAAGCTATCCAAATATCCGCATGCAGAATCTTCAAAAAGAGTGTTCCAGAAGTACTGCATGAAACGAAAGGTTCAAGTCCGTTTGTTGAGGACACACATCACAAATAAGTTTCTCAGAATGCTTCTGTCTTGTTTTCATTGGAAGATATTTCCTTTTTCACCATAGTTCAGAAAGCGCTCCAAATGTCCACTTCCAGATACTCCAAAAAGAGTGTTTCCAACCTGCTCTATGAATGGGAATGTTCCACTCTGTGACTTGAATGGAAATATGGCAAAGTATTTTCTGAGTATGCTGCTGTGTACGTTTTATATTGCATCCCGTTTCCAACGAAATCCTCAAAGCGATCCAAATATCCACTTGCAGATTCCAAAAAAAGAGTGTTTCAAACTGCTCTGTCAGTACAAAGGTTCAACACTGTTAGTTGATTAGATGCATCATAAACAAGTTCCTGAGATAGCTTCTATGTCGTTTTTATGGGAAGATATTTCCTTTTTCACCATAGGCCTGAAAGCGCTCCAAATGTCCACTTCCAGATACTACAAAAAGAGTGTTTCCAACCTGCTCTATGAAACGGAAGGTTCAACTCTGTGACTTGATTGCAAACATCACGAAGGTGTTTCTGAGAATGCTTCTGTCTAGATTTTCTTTGAAGACATTCCCGTTTCCAACGAAATCCTCAAAGCTAGCCAAATATCCACCTGCAGATTCTACAAAAAGAGTGTTTCAAGAGTGCTCTCTCCAAACCAAGGTTCAATTCTGACAGTTGAGTGCACACATCACAAACGTGATTCTGCGAATGCTTCTGTCTAGTTTTTGTCGGAAGATATTTCCTTTTTCAGCATAGGCCCCAAGGAGCTCAAAATGTCCACTGCCAGATAGTACGAGAAGATTGTTTCAAACCTGCTCTGTGAAAGGGAATGTTCAACTCTGTGACTTGAATGTAAACATCCCTAAGCTGTTTCTTAGAATGCTTCTGGCTAGATTTGATTTGAAGATATTCCCGTTTCCAACGAAATCCTCAAAGCTTTCCAAATATCCACTTCCAGATTCTATAAAAAGAATGTTTCAGAACAGTTCTGTCAAAAGAAAGGTTCAACTCTGTTAGTGGAGAACACACATCACAATCAAGGTTCTGAGAATGCTTCTGTCTAAATTTTCTATGAAGACATTCCCGTTTCCAAGGAAATCCTCACAGCTATCCAAATATCCACTTGCAGATTCTACAAAAAGTGTGGTTCAAAACTGCTGTATCAAAAGAATGGATCAACACTGTTAGTTGAGTACCCACATCACCAACGTGATTCTCAGAATGCTTCTGTCTAGTTTCTATAGGTAGATATTTCCTTTTTCAGCATAGGCCTGAAAGCGCTCCAAATGCCCGCTTCCAGACACTATAAAAAGAGGGTTTCAAACCTACTCTACGAAAGGGAATGTTCAACTCTGAGAGCTGGATGCAAACATCACAAAGAAGTTTCTGAGAATGCGGCTGTCTCACTTTTTATATATAATCCCGTTTCCAACGAAATCCTCAAATCCATCCAAATATCCACTTGCAGATTCCAAAAGAAGAGTGTCTCAAAACTGCTCTATCAATAGAAATGTTCAGCACAGTTAGTTGAGTAGATACAGCATAAACATGTTTCTGAGATTACTTCTATCTCGCATTCTTGGGAAGATATTTCCTTTTTCCAGATAGGCTACAAAGCCCTCCAAATGTCCACTTCGAGATACTACAAATAGAGTGCTGCACAACTGCTCTATGTGAGGGGATGTTCAATTCTGTGACTTGGATGCAGACACCACAGAGAAGTTTCTGAGAATGCTGCTGTCTATTTTTACATGTAAGCCCGTTTCCAACGAAATCCTCAAAGCTATCCAAATATCCGCATGCAGAATCTTCAAAAAGAGTGTTCCAGAAGTACTGCATGAAACGAAAGGTTCAAGTCCGTTTGTTGAGGACACACATCACAAATAAGTTTCTCAGAATGCTTCTGTCTTGTTTTCATTGGAAGATATTTCCTTTTTCACCATAGTTCAGAAAGCGCTCCAAATGTCCACTTCCAGATACTCCAAAAAGAGTGTTTCCAACCTGCTCTATGAATGGGAATGTTCCACTCTGTGACTTGAATGGAAATATGGCAAAGTATTTTCTGAGTATGCTGCTGTGTACGTTTTATATTGCATCCCGTTTCCAACGAAATCCTCAAAGCGATCCAAATATCCACTTGCAGATTCCAAAAAAAGAGTGTTTCAAAGTGCTCTGTCAGTACAAAGGTTCAACACTGTTAGTTGATTAGATGCATCATAAACAAGTTCCTGAGATAGCTTCTATGTCGTTTTTATGGGAAGATATTTCCTTTTTCACCATAGGCCTGAAAGCACTCCAAATGTCCACTTCCAGATACTACAAAAAGAGTGTTTCCAACCTGCTCTATGAAACGGAAGGTTCAACTCTGTGACTTGATTGCAAACATCACGAAGGTGTTTCTGAGAATGCTTCTGTCTAGATTTTCTTTGAAGACATTCCCGTTTCCAACGAAATCCTCAAAGCTAGCCAAATATCCACCTGCAGATTCTACAAAAAGAGTGTTTCAAGAGTGCTCTCTCCAAACCAAGGTTCAATTCTGACAGTTGAGTGCACACATCACAAACGTGATTCTGCGAATGCTTCTGTCTAGTTTTTGTCGGAAGATATTTCCTTTTTCAGCATAGGCCCCAAGGAGCTCAAAATGTCCACTGCCAGATAGTACGAGAAGATTGTTTCAAACCTGCTCTGTGAAAGGGAATGTTCAACTCTGTGACTTGAATGTAAACATCCCTAAGCTGTTTCTTAGAATGCTTCTGGCTAGATTTGATTTGAAGATATTCCCGTTTCCAACGAAATCCTCAAAGCTTTCCAAATATCCACTTCCAGATTCTATAAAAAGAATGTTTCAGAACAGTTCTGTCAAAAGAAAGTTTCAACTCTGTTAGTGGAGAACACACATCACAATCAAGGTTCTGAGAATGCTTCTGTCTAAATTTTCTATGAAGACATTCCCGTTTCCAACGAAATCCTCACAGCTATCCAAATATCCACTTGCAGATTCTACAAAAAGTGTGGTTCAAAACTGCTGTATCAAAAGAATGGATCAACACTGTTAGTTGAGTACCCACATCACAAACGTGATTCTCAGAATGCTTCTGTCTAGTTTCTATAGGTAGATATTTCCTATTTTAAGCATAGGCCTGAAAGCGCTCCAAATGCCCGCTTCCAGACACTATAAAAAGAGGGTTTCAAACCTACTCTATGAAAGGGAATGTTCAACTCTGAGAGCTGGATGCAAACATCACAAAGAAGTTTCTGAGAATGCTGCTGTCTACTTTTTATATATAATCCCGTTTCCAACGAAATCCTCAAATCTATCCAAATATCCACTTGCAGATTCCAAAAGAAGAGTGTCTCAAAACTGCTCTATCAATAGAAATGTTCAGCACAGTTAGTTGAGTAGATACAGCATAAACATGTTTCTGAGATTACTTCTATCTCGCATTCATGGGAAGATATTTCCTTTTTCCAGATAGGCTACAAAGCCCTCCAAATGTCCACTTCCAGATACTACAAATAGAGTGCTGCACAACTGCTCTATGTGAGGGGAAGTTCAATTCTGTGACTTGAATGCAGACACCACAAAGAAGTTTCTGAGAATGCTGCTGTCTAATTTTTACATGTAAGCCCGTTTCCAACGAAATCCTCAAAGCTATCCAAATATCCGCATGCAGAATCTTCAAAAAGAGTGTTCCAGAAGTACTGCATGAAACGAAAGTTTCAAGTCCGTTTGTTGAGGACACACATCACAAATAAGTTTCTCAGAATGCTTCTGTCTTGTTTTCATTGGAAGATATTTCCTTTTTCACCATAGTTCAGAAAGCGCTCCAAATGTCCACTTCCAGATACTCCAAAAAGAGTGTTTCAAACCTGCTCTATGAATGGGAATGTTCCACTCTGTGACTTGAATGGAAATATGGCAAAGTATTTTCTGAGTATGCTGCTGTGTACGTTTTATATTGCATCCCGTTTCCAACGAAATCCTCAAAGCGATCCAAATATCCACTTGCAGATTCCAAAAAAAGAGTGTTTCAAACTGCTCTGTCAGTACAAAGGTTCAACACTGTTAGTTGATTAGATGCATCATAAACAAGTTCCTGAGATAGCTTCTATGTCGTTTTTATGGGAAGATATTTCCTTTTTCACCATAGGCCTGAAAGCGCTCCAAATGTCCACTTCCAGATACTACAATAAGAGTGTTTCCAACCTGCTCTATGAAACGGAAGGTTCAACTCTGTGACTTGATTGCAAACATCACGAAGGTGTTTCTGAGAATGCTTCTGTCTAAATTTTCTATGAAGACATTCCCGTTTCCAACGAAATCCTCACAGCTATCCAAATATCCACTTGCAGATTCTACAAAAAGTGTGGTTCAAAACTGCTGTATCAAAAGAATGGATCAACACTGTTAGTTGAGTACCCACATCACAAACGTGATTCTCAGAATGCTTCTGTCTAGTTTCTGTAGGTAGATATTTCCTATTTTAAGCATAGGCCTGAAAGCGCTCCAAATGCCCGCTTCCAGACACTATAAAAAGAGGGTTTCAAACCTACTCTATGAAAGGGAATGTTCAACTCTGAGAGCTGGATGCAAACATCACAAAGAAGTTTCTGAGAATGCTGCTGTCTACTTTTTATATATAATCCCGTTTCCAACGAAATCCTCAAATCTATCCAAATATCCACTTGCAGATTCCAAAAGAAGAGTGTCTCAAAACTGCTCTATCAATAGAAATGTTCAGCACAGTTAGTTGAGTAGATACAGCATAAACATGTTTCTGAGATTACTTCTATCTCGCATTCATGGGAAGATATTTCCTTTTTCCACATAGGCTACAAAGCCCTCCAAATGTCCACTTCCAGATACTACAAAAAGAGTGTTTCCAACCTGCTCTATGAAACGGAAGGTTCAACTCTGTGACTTGATTGCAAACATCACGAAGGTGTTTCTGAGAATGCTTCTGTCTAGATTTTCTTTGAAGACATTACCGTTTCCAACGAAATCCTCAAAGCTAGCCAAATATCCACCTGCAGATTCTACAAAAAGAGTGTTTCAAAAGTGCTCTGTCCAAACCAAGGTTCAATTCTGACAGTTGAGTGCACACATCACAAACGTGATTCTGCGAATGCTTCTGTCTAGTTTTTGTCGGAAGATATTTCCTTTTTCAGCATAGGCCCCAAGGAGCTCAAAATGTCCACTTCCAGATAGTACGAGAAGATTGTTTCAAACCTGCTCTGTGAAAGGGAATGTTCAACTCTGTGACTTGAATGTAAACATCCCTAAGATGTTTCTTAGAATGCTTCTGGCTAGATTTGATTTGAAGATATTCCCGTTTCCAACGAAATCCTCAAAGCTTTCCAAATATCCACTTCCAGATTCTATAAAAAGAATGTTTCAGAACAGTTCTGTCAAAAGAAAGGTTCAACTCTGTTAGTGGAGAACACACATCACAATCAAGGTTCTGAGAATGCTTCTGTCTAAATTTTCTATGAAGACATTCCCGTTTCCAAGGAAATCCTCACAGCTATCCAAATATCCACTTGCAGATTCTACAAAAAGTGTGGTTCAAAACTGCTGTATCAAAAGAATGAATCAACACTGTTAGTTGAGTACCCACATCACAAACGTGATTCTCAGAATGCTTCTGTCTAGTTTCTATAGGTAGATATTTCCTTTTTCAGCATAGGCCTGAAAGCGCTCCAAATGCCCGCTTCCACACACTATAAAAAGAGGGTTTCAAACCTACTCTATGAAAGGGAATGTTCAACCCTGAGAGCTGGATGCAAACATCACAAAGAAGTTTCTGAGTATGCGGCTGTCTACTTTTTATATATAATCCCGTTTCCAACGAAATCCTCATATCTATCCAAATACCCACTTGCAGATTCCAAAAGAAGAGTGTCTCAAAACTGCTCTATCAATAGAAATGTTCAGCACAGTTAGTTCAGTAGATACAGCATAAACATGTTTCTGAGATTACTTCTATCTCGCATTCATGGGAAGATATTTCCTTTTTCCAGATAGGCTACAAAGCCCTCCAAATGTCCACTTCGAGATACTACAAATAGAGTGCTGCACAACTGCTCTATGTGAGGGGATGTTCAATTCTGTGACTTGAATGCAGACACCACAAAGAAGTTTCTGAGAATGCTGCTGTCTAATTTTTACATGTAAGCCCGTTTCCAACGAAATCCTCAAAGCTATCCAAATATCCGCATGCAGAATCTTCAAAAAGAGTGTTCCAGAAGTACTGCATGAAACGAAAGGTTCAAGTCCCGTTTGTTGAGGACACACATCACAAATAAGTTTCTCAGAATGCTTCTGTCTTGTTTTCATTGGAAGATATTTCCTTTTTCACCATAGTTCAGAAAGCGCTCCAAATGTCCACTTCCAGATACTCCAAAAAGAGTGTTTCCAACCTGCTCTATGAATGGGAATGTTCCACTCTGTGACTTGAATGGAAATATGGCAAAGTATTTTCTGAGTATGCTGCTGTGTACGTTTTATATTGCATCCCGTTTCCAACGAAATCCTCAAAGCGATCCAAATATCCACTTGCAGATTCCAAAAAAAGAGTGTTTCAAACTGCTCTGTCAGTACAAAGGTTCAACACTGTTAGTTGATTAGATGCCTCATAAACAAGTTCCTGAGATAGCTTCTATGTCGTTTTTATGGGAAGATATTTCCTTTTTCACCATAGGCCTGAAAGCGCTCCAAATGTCCACTTCCAGATACTACAATAAGAGTGTTTCCAACCTGCTCTATGAAACGGAAGGTTCAACTCTGTGACTTGATTGCAAACATCACGAAGGTGTTTCTGAGAATGCTTCTGTCTAGATTTTCTTTGAAGACATTACCGTTTCCAACGAAATCCTCAAAGCTAGCCAAATATCCACCTGCAGATTCTACAAAAAGAGTGTTTCAAAAGTGCTCTGTCCAAACCAAGGTTCAATTCTGAGAGTTGAGTGCACACATCACAAACGTGATTCTGCGAATGCTTCTGTCTAGTTTTTGTCGGAAGATATTTCCTTTTTCAGCATAGGCCCCAAGGAGCTCAAAATGTCCACTGCCAGATAGTACGAGAAGATTGTTTCAAACCTGCTCTGTGAAAGGGAATGTTCAACTCTGTGACTTGAATGTAAACATCCCTAAGATGTTTCTTAGAATGCTTCTGGCTAGATTTCATTTGAAGATATTCCCGTTTCCAACGAAATCCTCAAAGCTTTCCAAATATCCACTTCCAGATTCTATAAAAAGAATGTTTCAGAACAGTTCTGTCAAAAGAAAGGTTCAACTCTGTTAGTGGAGAACACACATCACAATCAAGGTTCTGAGAATGCTCTGTCTAAATTTTCTATGAAGACATTCCCGTTTCCAACGAAATCCTCACAGCTATCCAAATATCCACTTGCAGATTCTACAAAAAGGGTGGTTCAAAACTGCTGTATCAAAAGAATGGATCAACACTGTTAGTTGAGTACCCACATCACAAACGTGATTCTCAGAATGCTTTCTGTCTAGTTTCTATAGGTAGATATTTCCTTTTTCAGCATAGGCCTGAAAGCGCTCCAAATGCCCGCTTCCAGACACTATAAAAAGAGGGTTTCAAACCTACTCTATGAAAGGGAATGTTCAACTCTGAGAGCTGGATGCAAACATCACAAAGAAGTTTCTGAGAATGCTGCTGTCTACTTTTTATATATAATCCCGTTTCCAACGAAATCCTCAAATCTATCCAAATATCCACTTGCAGATTCCAAAAGAAGAGTGTCTGAAAACTGCTCTATCAATAGAAATGTTCAGCACAGTTAGTTGAGTAGATACAGCATAAACATGTTTCTGAGATTACTTCTATCTCGCATTCATGGGAAGATATTTCCTTTTTCCAGATAGGCTACAAAGCCCTCCAAATGTCCCCTTCCAGATACTACAAATAGAGTGCTGCACAACTGCTCTATGTGAGGGGAAGTTCAACTCTGTGACTTGAATGCAGACACCACAAAGAAGTTTCTGAGAATGCTGCTGTCTAATTTTTACATGTAAGCCCGTTTCCAACGAAATCCTCAAAGCTATCCAAATATCCGCATGCAGAATCTTCAAAAAGAGTGTTCCAGAAGTACTGCATGAAACGAAAGGTTCAAGTCCGTTTGTTGAGGACACACATCACAAATAAGTTTCTCAGAATGCTTCTGTCTTGTTTTCATTGGAAGATATTTCCTTTTTCACCATAGTTCAGAAAGCGCTCCAAATGTCCACTTCCAGATACTCCAAAAAGAGTGTTTCCAACCTGCTCTGTGAATGGGAATGTGCCACTCTGTGACTTGAATGGAAATATGGCAAAGTATTTTCTGAGTATGCTGCTGTGTACGTTTTATATTGCATCCCGTTTCCAACGAAATCCTCAAAGCGATCCAAATATCCACTTGCAGATTCCAAAAAAAGAGTGTTTCAAACTGCTCTGTCAGTACAAAGGTTCAACACTGTTAGTTGATTAGATGCATCATAAACAAGTTCCTGAGATAGCTTCTATGTCGTTTTTATGGGAAGATATTTCCTTTTTCACCATAGGCCTGAAAGCGCTCCAAATGTCCACTTCCAGATACTACAATAAGAGTGTTTCCAACCTGCTCTATGAAACGGAAGGTTCAACTCTGTGACTTGATTGCAAACATCACGAAGGTGTTTCTGAGAATGCTTCTGTCTAGATTTTCTTTGAAGACATTCCCGTTTCCAACGAAATCCTCACAGCTATCCAAATATCCTCTTGCAGATTCTACAAAAAGTGTGGTTCAAAACTGCTGTATCAAAAGAATGGATCAACACTGTTAGTTGAGTACCCACATCACAAACGTGATTCTCAGAATGCTTCTGTCTAGTTTCTGTAGGTAGATATTTCCTATTTTAAGCATAGGCCTGAAAGCGCTCCAAATGCCCGCTTCCAGACACTATAAAAAGAGGGTTTCAAACCTACTCTATGAAAGGGAATGTTCAACTCTGAGAGCTGGATGCAAACATCACAAAGAAGTTTCTGAGAATGCTGCTGTCTACTTTTTATATATAATCCCGTTTCCAACGAAATCCTCAAATCTATCCAAATATCCACTTGCAGATTCCAAAAGAAGAGTGTCTCAAAACTGCTCTATCAATAGAAATGTTCAGCACAGTTAGTTGAGTAGATACAGCATAAACACGTTTCTGAGATTACTTCTATCTCGCATTCATGGGAAGATATTTCCTTTTTCCAGATAGGCTACAAAGCCCTCCAAATGTCCACTTCCAGATACTACAAATAGAGTGCTGCACAACTGCTCTATGTGAGGGGAAGTTCAATTCTGTGACTTGAATGCAGACACCACAAAGAAGTTTCTGAGAATGCTGCTGTCTAATTTTTACATGTAAGGCCGTTTCCAACGAAATCCTCAAAGCTATCCAAATATCCGCATGCAGAATCTTCAAAAAGAGTGTTCCAGAAGTACTGCATGAAACGAAAGGTTCAAGTCCGTTTGTTGAGGACACACATCACAAATAAGTTTCTCAGAATGCTTCTGTCTTGTTTTCATTGGAAGATATTTCCTTTTTCACCATAGTTCAGAAAGCGCTCCAAATGTCCACTTCCAGATACTCCAAAAAGAGTGTTTCCAACCTGCTCTATGAATGGGAATGTTCCACTCTGTGACTTGAATGGAAACATGGCAAAGTATTTTCTGAGTATGCTGCTGTGTACGTTTTATATTGCATCCCGTTTCCAACGAAATCCTCAAAGTGATCCAAATATCCACTTGCAGATTCCAAAAAAAGAGTGTTTCAAACTGCTCTGTCAGTAGAAAGGTTCAACACTGTTAGTTGATTAGATGCATCATAAACAAGTTCCTGAGATAGCTTCTATGTCGTTTTTATGGGAAGATATTTCCTTTTTCACCATAGGCCTGAAAGCGCTCCAAATGTCCACTTCCAGATACTACAATAAGAGTGTTTCCAACCTGCTCTATGAAACGGAAGGTTCAACTCTGTGACTTGATTGCAAACATCACGAAGGTGTTCCTCAGAATGCTTCTGTCTAGATTTTCTTTGAAGACATTCCCGTTTCCAACGAAATCCTCACAGCTATCCAAATATCCTCTTGCAGATTCTACAAAAAGTGTGGTTCAAAACTGCTGTATCAAAAGAATGGATCAACACTGTTAGTTGAGTACCCACATCACAAACGTGATTCTCAGAATGCTTCTGTCTAGTTTCTATAGGTAGATATTTCCTTTTTCAGCATAGGCCTGAAAGCGCTCCAAATGCCCGCTTCCAGACACTATAAAAAGAGGGTTTCAAACCTACTCTATGAAAGGGAATGTTCAACTCTGAGAGCTGGATGCAAACATCACAAAGAAGTTTCTGAGAATGCTGCTGTCTACTTTTGATATATAATCCCGTTTCCAACGAAATCCTCAAATCTATCCAAATATCCACTTGCAGATTCCAAAAGAAGAGTGTCTCAAAACTGCTCTATCAATAGAAATGTTCAGCACAGTTAGTTGAGTAGATACAGCATAAACATGTTTCTGAGATTACTTCTATCTCGCATTCATGGGAAGATATTTCCTTTTTCCACATAGGCTACAAAGCCCTCCAAATGTCCACTTCCAGATACTACAAAAAGAGTGTTTCCAACCTGCTCTATGAAACGGAAGGTTCAACTCTGTGACTTGATTGCAAACATCACGAAGGTGTTTCTGAGAATGCTTCTGTCTAGATTTTCTTTGAAGACATTACCGTTTCCAACGAAATCCTCAAAGCTAGCCAAATATCCACCTGCAGATTCTACAAAAAGAGTGTTTCAAAAGTGCTCTGTCCAAACCAAGGTTCAATTCTGACAGTTGAGTGCACACGTCACAAACGTGATTCTGCGAATGCTTCTGTCTAGTTTTTGTCGGAAGATATTTCCTTTTTCAGCATAGGCCCCAAGGAGCTCAAAATGTCCACTGCCAGATAGTACGAGAAGATTGTTTCAAACCTGCTCTGTGAAAGGGAATGTTCAACTCTGTGACTTGAATGTAAACATCCCTAAGATGTTTCTTAGAATGCTTCTGGCTAGATTTGATTTGAAGATATTCCCGTTTCCAACGAAATCCTCAAAGGTTTCCAAATATCCACTTCCAGATTCTATAAAAAGAATGTTTCAGAACAGTTCTGTCAAAAGAAAGGTTCAACTCTGTTAGTGGAGAACACACATCACAATCAAGGTTCTGAGAATGCTTCTGTCTAAATTTTCTATGAAGACATTCCCGTTTCCAACGAAATCCTCACAGCTATCCAAATATCCACTTGCAGATTCTACAAAAAGTGTGGTTCAAAACTGCTGTATCAAAAGAATGGATCAACACTGTTAGTTGAGTACCCACATCACAAACGTGATTCTCAGAATGCTTCTGTCTAGTTTCTATAGGTAGATATTTCCTTTTTCAGCATAGGCCTGAAAGCGCTCCAAATGCCCGCTTCCAGACACTATAAAAAGAGGGTTTCAAACCTACTCTATGAAAGGGAATGTTCAACTCTGAGAGCTGGATGCAAACATCACAAAGAAGTTTCTGAGAATGCTGCTGTCTACTTTTGATATATAATCCCGTTTCCAACGAAATCCTCAAATCTATCCAAATATCCACTTGCAGATTCCAAAAGAAGAGTGTCTCAAAACTGCTCTATCAATAGAAATGTTCAGCACAGTTAGTTGAGTAGATACAGCATAAACATGTTTCTGAGATTACTTCTATCTCGCATTCATGGGAAGATATTTCCTTTTTCCAGATAGGCTACAAAGCCCTCCAAATGTCCACTTCCAGATACTACAAAAAGAGTGTTTCCAACCTGCTCTATGAAACGGAAGGTTCAACTCTGTGACTTGATTGCAAACATCACGAAGGTGTTTCTGAGAATGCTTCTGTCTAGATTTTCTTTGAAGACATTACCGTTTCCAACGAAATCCTCAAAGCTAGCCAAATATCCACCTGCAGATTCTACAAAAAGAGTGTTTCAAAAGTGCTCTGTCCAAACCAAGGTTCAATTCTGACAGTTGAGTGCACACATCACAAACGTGATTCTGCGAATGCTTCTGTCTAGTTTTTGTCGGAAGATATTTCCTTTTTCAGCATAGGCCCCAAGGAGCTCAAAATGTCCACTGCCAGATAGTACGAGAAGATTGTTTCAAACCTGCTCTGTGAAAGGGAATGTTCAACTCTGTGACTTGAATGTAAACATCCCTAAGATGTTTCTTAGAATGCTTCTGGCTAGATTTTATTTGAAGATATTCTCGTTTCCAACGAAATCCTCAAAGCTTTCCAAATATCCACTTCCAGATTCTATAAAAAGAATGTTTCAGAACATTTCTGTCAAAAGAAAGGTTCAACTCTGTTAGTGGAGAACACACATCACAATCAAGGTTCTGAGAATGCTTCTGTCTAAATTTTCTATGAAGACATTCCCGTTTCCAACGAAATCCTCACAGCTATCCAAATATCCACTTGCAGATTCTACAAAAAGTGTGGTTCAAAACTGCTGTATCAAAAGAATGGATCAACACTGTTAGTTGAGTACCCACATCACAAACGTGATTCTCAGAATGCTTCTGTCTAGTTTCTATAGGTAGATATTTCCTTTTTCAGCATAGGCCTGAAAGCGCTCCAAATGCCCGCTTCCAGACACTATAAAAAGAGGGTTTCAAACCTACTCTATGAAAGGGAATGTTCAACTCTGAGAGCTGGATGCAAACATCACAAAGAAGTTTCTGAGAATGCTGCTGTCTACTTTTTATATATAATCCCGTTTCCAACGAAATCCTCAAATCTATCCAAATATCCACTTGCAGATTCCAAAAGAAGAGTGTCTCAAAACTGCTCTATCAATAGAAATGTTCAGCACAGTTAGTTGAGTAGATACAGCATAAACATGTTTCTGAGATTACTTCTATCTCGCATTCATGGGAAGATATTTCCTTTTTCCACATAGGCTACAAAGCCCTCCAAATGTCCACTTCCAGATACTACAAATAGAGTGCTGCACAACTGCTCTATGTGAGGGGATGTTCAATTCTGTGACTTGAATGCAGACACCACAAAGAAGTTTCTGAGAATGCTGCTGTCTAATTTTTACATGTAAGCCCGTTTCCAACGAAATCCTCAAAGCTATCCAAATATCCGCATGCAGAATCTTCAAAAAGAGTGTTCCAGAAGTACTGCATGAAACGAAAGGTTCAAGTCCGTTTGTTGAGGACACACATCACAAATAAGTTTCTCAGAATGCTTCTGTGTTGTTTTCATTGGAAGATATTTCCTTTTTCACCATAGTTCAGAAAGCGCTCCAAATGTCCACTTCCAGATACTCCAAAAAGAGTGTTTCCAACCTGCTCTATGAATGGGAATGTTCCACTCTGTGACTTGAATGGAAATATGGCAAAGTATTTTCTGAGTATGCTGCTGTGTACGTTTTATATTGCATCCCGTTTCCAACGAAATCCTCAAAGCGATCCAAATATCCACTTGCAGATTCCAAAAAAAGAGTGTTTCAAACTGCTCTGTCAGTACAAAGGTTCAACACTGTTAGTTGATTAGATGCATCATAAACAAGTTCCTGAGATAGCTTCTATGTCGTTTTTATGGGAAGATATTTCCTTTTTCACCATAGGCCTGAAAGCGCTCCAAATGTCCACTTCCTGATACTACAATAAGAGTGTTTCCAACCTGCTCTATGAAACGGAAGGTTCAACTCTGTGACTTGATTGCAAACATCACGAAGGTGTTTCTGAGAATGCTTCTGTCTAGATTTTCTTTGAAGACATTCCCGTTTCCAACGAAATCCTCACAGCTATCCAAATATCCTCTTGCAGATTCTACAAAAAGTGTGGTTCAAAACTGCTGTATCAAAAGAATGGATCAACACTGTTAGTTGAGTACCCACATCACAAACGTGATTCTCAGAATGCTTCTGTCTAGTTTCTGTAGGTAGATATTTCCTATTTTAAGCATAGGCCTGAAAGCGCTCCAAATGTCCGCTTCCAGACACTATAAAAAGAGGGTTTCAAACCTACTCTATGAAAGGGAATGTTCAACTCTGAGAGCTGGATGCAAACATCACAAAGAAGTTTCTGAGAATGCTGCTGTCTACTTTTTATATATAATCCCGTTTCCAACGAAATCCTCAAATCTATCCAAATATCCACTTGCAGATTCCAAAAGAAGAGTGTCTCAAAACTGCTCTATCAATAGAAATGTTCAGCACAGTTAGTTGAGTAGATACAGCATAAACATGTTTCTGAGATTACTTCTATCTCGCATTCATGGGAAGATATTTCCTTTTTCCACATAGGCTACAAAGCCCTCCAAATGTCCACTTCCAGATACTACAAATAGAGTGCTGCACAACTGCTCTATGTGAGGGGATGTTCAATTCTGTGACTTGAATGCAGACACCACAAAGAAGTTTCTGAGAATGCTGCTGTCTAATTTTTACATGTAAGCCCGTTTCCAACGAAATCCTCAAAGCTATCCAAATATCCGCATGCAGAATCTTCAAAAAGAGTGTTCCAGAAGTACTGCATGAAACGAAAGGTTCAAGTCCGTTTGTTGAGGACACACATCACAAATAAGTTTCTCAGAATGCTTCTGTCTTGTTTTCATTGGAAGATATTTCCTTTTTCACCATAGTTCAGAAAGCGCTCCAAATGTCCACTTCCAGATACTCCAAAAAGAGTGTTTCCAACCTGCTCTATGAATGGGAATGTTCCACTCTGTGACTTGAATGGAAATATGGCAAAGAATTTTCTGAGTATGCTGCTGTG
This sequence comes from Homo sapiens, assembly GCF_000001405.40. Taxonomy (NCBI): domain Eukaryota; kingdom Metazoa; phylum Chordata; class Mammalia; order Primates; family Hominidae; genus Homo; species Homo sapiens. The sequence continues at coordinate 45,221,679 of NC_000008.11, read as the reverse complement.
TACGTTTTATATTGCATCCCGTTTCCAACGAAATCCTCAAAGTGATCCAAATATCCACTTGCAGATTCCAAAAAAAGAGTGTTTCAAACTGCTCTGTCAGTACAAAGGTTCAACACTGTTAGTTGATTAGATGCATCATAAACAAGTTCCTGAGATAGCTTCTATGTCGTTTTTATGGGAAGATATTTCCTTTTTCACCATAGGCCTGAAAGCGCTCCAAATGTCCACTTCCAGATACTACAATAAGAGTGTTTCCAACCTGCTCTATGAAACGGAAGGTTCAACTCTGTGACTTGATTGCAAACATCACGAAGGTGTTTCTGAGAATGCTTCTGTCTAGATTTTCTTTGAAGACATTCCCGTTTCCAACGAAATCCTCACAGCTATCCAAATATCCTCTTGCAGATTCTACAAAAAGTGTGGTTCAAAACTGCTGTATCAAAAGAATGGATCAACACTGTTAGTTGAGTACCCACATCACAAACGTGATTCTCAGAATGCTTCTGTCTAGTTTCTGTAGGTAGATATTTCCTATTTTAAGCATAGGCCTGAAAGCGCTCCAAATGCCCGCTTCCAGACACTATAAAAAGAGGGTTTCAAACCTACTCTATGAAAGGGAATGTTCAACTCTGAGAGCTGGATGCAAACATCACAAAGAAGTTTCTGAGAATGCTGCTGTCTACTTTTTATATATAATCCCGTTTCCAACGAAATCCTCAAATCTATCCAAATATCCACTTGCAGATTCCAAAAGAAGAGTGTCTCAAAACTGCTCTATCAATAGAAATGTTCAGCACAGTTAGTTGAGTAGATACAGCATAAACATGTTTCTGAGATTACTTCTATCTCGCATTCATGGGAAGATATTTCCTTTTTCCAGATAGGCTACAAAGCCCTCCAAATGTCCACTTCCAGATACTACAAAAAGAGTGTTTCCAACCTGCTCTATGAAACGGAAGGTTCAACTCTGTGACTTGATTGCAAACATCACGAAGGTGTTTCTGAGAATGCTTCTGTCTAGATTTTCTTTGAAGACATTACCGTTTCCAACGAAATCCTCAAAGCTAGCCAAATATCCACCTGCAGATTCTACAAAAAGAGTGTTTCAAAAGTGCTCTGTCCAAACCAAGGTTCAGTTCTGACAGTTGAGTGCACACATCACAAACGTGATTCTGCGAATGCTTCTGTCTAGTTTTTGTCGGAAGATATTTCCTTTTTCAGCATAGGCCCCAAGGAGCTCAAAATGTCCACTGCCAGATAGTACGAGAAGATTGTTTCAAACCTGCTCTGTGAAAGGGAATGTTCAACTCTGTGACTTGAATGTAAACATCCCTAAGATGTTTCTTAGAATGCTTCTGGCTAGATTTTATTTGAAGATATTCCCGTTTCCAACGAAATCCTCAAAGCTTTCCAAATATCCACTTCCAGATTCTATAAAAAGAATGTTTCAGAACAGTTCTGTCAAAAGAAAGGTTCAACTCTGTTAGTGGAGAACACACATCACAATCAAGGTTCTGAGAATGCTTCTGTCTACATTTTCTATGAAGACATTCCCGTTTCCAACGAAATCCTCACAGCTATCCAAATATCCACTTGCAGATTCTACAAAAAGTGTGGTTCAAAACTGCTGTATCAAAAGAATGGATCAACACTGTTAGTTGAGTACCCACATCACAAACGTGATTCTCAGAATGCTTCTGTCTAGTTTCTATAGGTAGATATTTCCTTTTTCAGCATAGGCCTGAAAGCGCTCCAAATGCCCGCTTCCACACACTATAAAAAGAGGGTTTCAAACCTACTCTATGAAAGGGAATGTTCAACTCTGAGAGCTGGATGCAAACATCACAAAGAAGTTTCTGAGAATGCGGCTGTCTACTTTTTATATATAATCCCGTTGCCAACGAAATCCTCAAATCTATCCAAATATCCACTTGCAGATTCCAAAAGAAGAGTGTCTCAAAACTGCTCTATCAATAGAAATGTTCAGCACAGTTAGTTGAGTAGATACAGCATAAACATGTTTCTGAGATTACTTCTATCTCGCATTCATGGGAAGATATTTCCTTTTTCCAGATAGGCTACAAAGCCCTCCAAATGTCCACTTCCAGATACTACAAATAGAGTGCTGCACAGCTGCTCTATGTGAGGGGAAGTTCAATTCTGTGACTTGAATGCAGACACCACAAAGAAGTTTCTGAGAATGCTGCTGTCTAATTTTTACATGTAAGCCCGTTTCCAACGAAATCCTCAAAGCTATCCAAATATCCGCATGCAGAATCTTCAAAAAGAGTGTTCCAGAAGTACTGCATGAAACGAAAGGTTCAAGTCCGTTTGTTGAGGACACACATCACAAATAAGTTTCTCAGAATGCTTCTGTCTTGTTTTCATTGGAAGATATTTCCTTTTTCACCATAGTTCAGAAAGCGCTCCAAATGTCCACTTCCAGATACTCCAAAAAGAGTGTTTCAAACCTGCTCTATGAATGGGAATGTTCCACTCTGTGACTTGAATGGAAATATGGCAAAGTATTTTCTGAGTATGCTGCTGTGTACGTTTTATATTGCATCCCGTTTCCAACGAAATCCTCAAAGCGATCCAAATATCCACTTGCAGATTCCAAAAAAAGAGTGTTTCAAACTGCTCTGTCAGTACAAAGGTTCAACACTGTTAGTTGATTAGATGCATCATAAACAAGTTCCTGAGACAGCTTCTATGTCGTTTTTATGGGAAGATATTTCCTTTTTCACCATAGGCCTGAAAGCGCTCCAAATGTCCCCTTCCAGATACTACAATAAGAGTGTTTCCAACCTGCTCTATGAAACGGAAGGTTCAACTCTGTGACTTGATTGCAAACATCACGAAGGTGTTTCTGAGAATGCTTCTGTCTAAATTTTCTATGAAGACATTCCCGTTTCCAACGAAATCCTCACAGCTATCCAAATATCCACTTGCAGATTCTACAAAAAGTGTGGTTCAAAACTGCTGTATCAAAAGAATGGATCAACACTGTTAGTTGAGTACCCACATCACAAACGTGATTCTCAGAATGCTTCTGTCTAGTTTCTATAGGTAGATATTTCCTTTTTCAGCATAGGCCTGAAAGCGCTCCAAATGCCCGCTTCCAGACACTATAAAAAGAGGGTTTCAAACCTACTCTATGAAAGGGAATGTTCAACTCTGAGAGCTGGAAGCAAACATCACAAAGAAGTTTCTGAGAATGCTGCTGTCTACTTTTGATATATAATCCCGTTTCCAACGAAATCCTCAAATCTATCCAAATATCCACTTGCAGATTCCAAAAGAAGAGTGTCTCAAAACTGCTCTATCAATAGAAATGTTCAGCACAGTTAGTTGAGTAGATACAGCATAAACATGTTTCTGAGATTACTTCTATCTCGCATTCATGGGAAGATATTTCCTTTTTCCAGATAGGCTACAAAGCCCTCCAAATGTCCACTTCCAGATACTACAAATAGAGTGCTGCACAACTGCTCTATGTGAGGGGAAGTTCAACTCTGTGACTTGAATGCAGACACGACAAAGAAGTTTCTGAGAATGCTGCTGTCTAATTTTTACATGTAAGCCCGTTTCCAACGAAATCCTCAAAGCTATCCAAATATCCGCATGCAGAATCTTCAAAAAGTGTTCCAGAAGTACTGCATGAAACGAAAGTTTCAAGTCCGTTTGTTGAGGACACACATCACAAATAAGTTTCTCAGAATGCTTCTGTCTTGTTTTCATTGGAAGATATTTCCTTTTTCACCATAGTTCAGAAAGCGCTCCAAATGTCCACTTCCAGATACTCCAAAAAGAGTGTTTCCAACCTGCTCTATGAATGGGAATGTTCCACTCTGTGACTTGAATGGAAATATGGCAAAGTATTTTCTGAGTATGCTGCTGTGTACGTTTTATATTGCATCCCGTTTCCAACGAAATCCTCAAAGCGATCCAAATATCCACTTGCAGATTCCAAAAAAAGAGTGTTTCAAACTGCTCTGTCAGTACAAAGGTTCAACACTGTTAGTTGATTAGATGCATCATAAACAAGTTCCTGAGATAGCTTCTATATCGTTTTTATGGGAAGATATTTCCTTTTTCACCATAGGCCTGAAAGCGCTCCAAATGTCCACTTCCAGATACTACAATAAGAGTGTTTCCAACCTGCTCTATGAAACGGAAGGTTCAACTCTGTGACTTGATTGCAAACATCACGAAGGTATTTCTGAGAATGCTTCTGTCTAGATTTTCTTTGAAGACATTCCCGTTTCCAACGAAATCCTCACAGCTATCCAAATATCCTCTTGCAGGTTCTCCAAAAAGTGTGGTTCAAAACTGCTGTATCAAAAGAATAGATCAACACTGTTAGTTGAGTACCCACATCACAAACGTGATTCTCAGAATGCTTCTGTCTAGTTTCTGTAGGTAGATATTTCCTATTTTAAGCATAGGCCTGAAAGCGCTCCAAATGCCCGCTTCCAGACACTATAAAAAGAGGGTTTCAAACCTACTCTATGAAAGGGAATATTCAACTCTGAGAGCTGGATGCAAACATCACAAAGAAGTTTCTGAGAATGCTGCTGTCTACTTTTTATATATAATCCCGTTTCCAACGAAATCCTCAAATCTATCCAAATATCCACTTGCAGATTCCAAAAGAAGAGTGTCTCAAAACTGCTCTATCAATAGAAATGTTCAGCACAGTTAGTTGAGTAGATACAGCATAAACATGTTTCTGAGATTACTTCTATCTCGCATTCATGGGAATATATTTCCTTTTTCCAGATAGGCTACAAAGCCCTCCAAATGTCCACTTCCAGATACTACAAAAAGAGTGTTTCCAACCTGCTCTATGAAACGGAAGGTTCAACTCTGTGACTTGATTGCAAACATCATGAAGGTGTTTCTGAGAATGCTTCTGTCTAGATTTTCTTTGAAGACATTACCGTTTCCAACGAAATCCTCAAAGCTAGCCAAATATCCACCTGCAGATTCTACAAAAAGAGTGTTTCAAAAGTGCTCTGTCCAAACCAAGGTTCAATTCTGACAGTTGAGTGCACACATCACAAACGTGATTCTGCGAATGCTTCTGTCTAGTTTTTGTCGGAAGATATTTCCTTTTTCAGCATAGGCCCCAAGGAGCTCAAAATGTCCACTGCCAGATAGTACGAGAAGATTGTTTCAAACCTGCTCTGTGAAAGGGAATGTTCAACTCTGTGACTTGAATGTAAACATCCCTAAGATGTTTCTTAGAATGCTTCTGGCTAGATTTGATTTGAAGATATTCCCGTTTCCAACGAAATCCTCAAAGCTTTCCAAATATCCACTTCCAGATTCTATAAAAAGAATGTTTCAGAACAGTTCTGTCAAAAGAAAGGTTCAACTCTGTTAGTGGAGAACACACATCACAATCAAGGTTCTGAGAATGCTTCTGTCTAAATTTTCTATGAAGACATTCCCGTTTCCAACGAAATCCTCACAGCTATCCAAATATCCACTTGCAGATTCTACAAAAAGTGTGGTTCAAAACTGCTGTATCAAAAGAATGGATCAACACTGTTAGTTGAGTACCCACATCACAAACGTGATTCTCAGAATGCTTCTGTCTAGTTTCTATAGGTAGATATTTCCTTTTTCAGCATAGGCCTGAAAGCGCTCCAAATGCCCGCTTCCAGACACTATAAAAAGAGGGTTTCAAACCTACTCTATGAAAGGGAATGTTCAACTCTGAGAGCTGGATGCAAACATCACAAAGAAGTTTCTGAGAATGCTGCTGTCTACTTTTTATATATAATCCCGTTTCCAACGAAATCCTCAAATCTATCCAAATATCCACTTGCAGATTCCAAAAGAAGAGTGTCTCAAAACTGCTCTATCAATAGAAATGTTCAGCACAGTTAGTTGAATAGATACAGCATAAACATGTTTCTGAGATTACTTCTATCTCGCATTCATGGGAAGATATTTCCTTTTTCCAGATAGGCTACAAAGCCCTCCAAATGTCCACTTCCAGATACTACAAATAGAGTGCTGCACAACTGCTCTATGTGAGGGGGAAGTTCAATTCTGTGACTTGAATGCAGACACCACAAAGAAGTTTCTGAGAATGCTGCTGTCTAATTTTTACATGTAAGCCCGTTTCCAACGAAATCCTCAAAGCTATCCAAATATCCGCATGCAGAATCTTCAAAAAGAGTGTTCCAGAAGTACTGCATGAAACGAAAGGTTCAAGTCCGTTTGTTGAGGACACACATCACAAATAAGTTTCTCAGAATGCTTCTGTCTTGTTTTCATTGGAAGATATTTCCTTTTTCACCATAGTTCAGAAAGCGCTCCAAATGTCCACTTCCAGATACTCCAAAAAGAGTGTTTCAAACCTGCTCTATGAATGGGAATGTTCCACTCTGTGACTTGAATGGAAATATGGCAAAGTATTTTCTGAGTATGCTGCTGTGTACGTTTTATATTGCATCCCGTTTCCAACGAAATCCTCAAAGCGATCCAAATATCCACTTGCAGATTCCAAAAAAAGAGTGTTTCAAACTGCTCTGTCAGTACAAAGGTTCAACACTGTTAGTTGATTAGATGCATCATAAACAAGTTCCTGAGATAGCTTCTATGTTGTTTTTATGGGAAGATATTTCCTTTTTCACCAGAGGCCTGAAAGCGCTCCAATTGTCCACTTCCAGAAACTACAAAAAGAGTGTTTCCAACCTGCTCTATGAAACGGAAGGTTCAACTCTGTGACTTGATTGCAAACATCACGAAGGTGTTTCTGAGAATGTTTCTGTCTAGATTTTCTTTGAAGACATTACCGTTTCCAACGAAATCCTCAAAGCTAGCCAAATATCCACCTGCAGATTCTACAAAAAGAGTGTTTCAAAAGTGCTCTGTCCAAACCAAGGTTCAATTCTGACAGTTGAGTGCACACATCACAAACGTGATTCTGCGAATGCTTCTGTCTAGTTTTTGTCGGAAGATATTTCCTTTTTCAGCATAGGCCCCAAGGAGCTCAAAATGTCCACTGCCAGATAGTACGAGAAGATTGTTTCAAACCTGCTCTGTGAAAGGGAATGTTCAACTCTGTGACTTGAATGTAATCATCCCTAAGATGTTTCTTAGAATGCTTCTGGCTAGATTTGATTTGAAGATATTCCCGTTTCCAACGAAATCCTCAAAGCTTTCCAAATATCCACTTCCAGATTCTATAAAAAGAATGTTTCAGAACAGTTCTGTCAAAAGAAAGGTTCAACTCTGTTAGTGGAGAACACACATCACAATCAAGGTTCTGAGAATGCTTCTGTCTAGATTTTCTTTGAAGACATTCCCGTTTCCAACGAAATCCTCACAGCTATCCAAATATCCTCTTGCAGATTCTACAGAAAGTGTGGTTCAAAACTGCTGTATCAAAAGAATGGATCAACACTGTTAGTTGAGTACCCACATCACAAACGTGATTCTCAGAATGCTTCTGTCTAGTTTCTGTAGGTAGATATTTCCTATTTTAAGCATAGGCCTGAAAGCGCTCCAAATGCCCGCTTCCAGACACTATAAAAAGAGGGTTTCAAACCTACTCTATGAAAGGGAATGTTCAACTCTGAGAGCTGGATGCAAACATCACAAAGAAGTTTCTGAGAATGCTGCTGTCAACTTTTGATATATAATCCCGTTTCCAACGAAATCCTCAAATCTATCCAAATATCCACTTGCAGATTCCAAAAGAAGAGTGTCTCAAAACTGCTCTATCAATAGAAATGTTCAGCACAGTTAGTTGAGTAGATACAGCATAAACATGTTTCTGAGATTACTTCTATCTCGCATTCATGGGAAGATATTTCCTTTTTCCAGATAGGCTACAAAGCCCTCCAAATGTCCACTTCCAGATACTACAAAAAGAGTGTTTCCAACCTGCTCTATGAAACGGAAGGTTCAACTCTGTGACTTGATTGCAAACATCACGAAGGTGTTTCTGAGAATGCTTCTGTCTAGATTTTCTTTGAAGACATTACCGTTTCCAACGAAATCCTCAAAGCTAGCCAAATATCCACCTGCAGATTCTACAAAAAGAGTGTTTCAAAAGTGCTCTGTCCAAACCAAGGTTCAAATCTGACAGTTGAGTGCACACATCACAAACGTGATTCTGCGAATGCTTCTGTCTAGTTTTTGTCGGAAGATATTTCCTTTTTCAGCATAGGCCCCAAGGAGCTCAAAATGTCCACTGCCAGATAGTACGAGAAGATTGTTTCAAACCTGCTCTGTGAAAGGGAATGTTCAACTCTGTGACTTGAATGTAAACATCCCTAAGATGTTTCTTAGAATGCTTCTGGCTAGATTTGATTTGAAGATATTCCCGTTTCCAACGAAATCCTCAAAGCTTTCCAAATATACACTTCCAGATTCTATAAAAAGAATGTTTCAAAACAGTTCTGTCCAAAGAAAGGTTCAACTCTGTTAGTGGAGAACACATCACAATCCAGGTTCTGAGAATGCTTCTGTCTAAATTTTCTATGAAGACATTCCCGTTTCCAACGAAATCCTCACAGCTATCCAAATATCCACTTGCAGATTCTACGAAAAGGGTGGTTCAAAACTGCTGTATCAAAAGAATGGATCAACACTGTTAGTTGAGTACCCACATCACAAACGTGATTCTCAGAATGCTTCTGTCTAGTTTCTGTAGGTAGATATTTCCTTTTTCAGCATAGGCCTGAAAGCGCTCCAAATGCCCGCTTCCAGACACTATAAAAAGGGGGTTTCAAACCTACTCTATGAAAGGGAATGTTCAACTCTGAGAGCTGGATGCAAACATCACAAAGAAGTTTTGAGAATGCTGCTGTCTACTTTTTATATATAATCCCGTTTCCAACGAAATCCTCAAATCTATCCAAATATCCACTTGCAGATTCCAAAAGAAGAGTGTCTCAAAACTGCTCTATCAATAGAAATGTTCAGCACAGTTAGTTGAGTAGATACAGCATAAACATGTTTCTGAGATTACTTCTATCTCGCATTCATGGGAAGATATTTCCTTTTTCCAGATAGGCTACAAAGCCCTCCAAATGTCCACTTCCAGATACTACAAATAGAGTGCTGCACAACTGCTCTATGTGAGGGGATGTTCAATTCTGTGACTTGAATGCAGACACCACAAAGAAGTTTCTGAGAATGCTGCTGTCTAATTTTTACATGTAAGCCCGTTTCCAACGAAATCCTCAAAGCTATCCAAATATCCGCATGCAGAATCTTCAAAAAGAGTGTTCCAGAAGTACTGCATGAAACGAAAGGTTCAAGTCCGTTTGTTGAGGACACACATCACAAATAAGTTTCTCAGAATGCTTCTGTCTTGTTTTCATTGGAAGATATTTCCTTTTTCACCATAGTTCAGAAAGCGCTCCAAATGTCCACTTCCAGATACTCCAAAAAGAGTGTTTCAAACCTGCTCTATGAATGGGAATGTTCCGCTCTGTGACTTGAATGGAAATATGGCAAAGTATTTTCTGAGTATGCTGCTGTGTACGTTTTATATTGCATCCCGTTTCCAACGAAATCCTCAAAGCGATCCAAATATCCACTTGCAGATTCCAAAAAAAGAGTGTTTCAAACTGCTCTGTCAGTACAAAGGTTCAACACTGTTAGTTGATTAGATGCATCATAAACAAGTTCCTGAGATAGCTTCTATGTCGTTTTTATGGGAAGATATTTCCTTTTTCACCATAGGCCTGAAAGCGCTCCAAATGTCCACTTCCAGATACTACAATAAGAGTGTTTCCAACCTGCTCTATGAAACGGAAGGTTCAACTCTGTGACTTGATTGCAAACATCACGAAGGTGTTTCTGAGAATGCTTCTGTCTAGATTTTCTTTGAAGACATTACCGTTTCCAACGAAATCTTCACAGCTATCCAAATATCCACTTGCAGATTCTACAAAAAGTGTGGTTCAAAACTGCTGTATCAAAAGAATGGATCAACACTGTTAGTTGAGTACCCACATCACAAACGTGATTCTCAGAATGCTTCTGTCTAGTTTCTGTAGGTAGATATTTCCTATTTTAAGCATAGGCCTGAAAGCGCTCCAAATGCCCGCTTCCAGACACTATAAAAAGAGGGTTTCAAACCTACTCTATGAAAGGGAATGTTCAACTCTGAGAGCTGGATGCAAACATCACAAAGAAGTTTCTGAGAATGCTGCTGTCTACTTTTGATATATAATCCCGTTTCCAACGAAATCCTCAAATCTATCCAAATATCCACTTGCAGATTCCAAAAGAAGAGTGTCTCAAAACTGCTCTATCAATAGAAATGTTCAGCACAGTTAGTTGAGTAGATACAGCATAAACATGTTTCTGAGATTACTTCTATCTCGCATTCATGGGAAGATATTTCCTTTTTCCAGATAGGCTACAAAGCCCTCCAAATGTCCACTTCCAGATACTACAAATAGAGTGCTGCACAACTGCTCTATGTGAGGGGAAGTTCAATTCTGTGACTTGAATGCAGACACCACAAAGAAGTTTCTGAGAATGCTGCTGTCTAATTTTTACATGTAAGCCCGTTTCCAACGAAATCCTCAAAGCTATCCAAATATCCGCATGCAGAATCTTCAAAAAGAGTGTTCCAGAAGTACTGCATGAAACGAAAGGTTCAAGTCCGTTTGTTGAGGACACACATCACAAATAAGTTTCTCAGAATGCTTCTGTCTTGTTTTCATTGGAAGATATTTCCTTTTTCACCATAGTTCAGAAAGCGCTCCAAATGTCCACTTCCAGATACTCCAAAAAGAGTGTTTCAAACCTGCTCTATGAATGGGAATGTTCCACTCTGTGACTTGAATGGAAATATGGCAAAGTATTTTCTGAGTATGCTGCTGTGTACGTTTTATATTGCATCCCGTTTCCAACGAAATCCTCAAAGCGATCCAAATATCCACTTGCAGATTCCAAAAAAAGAGTGTTTCAAACTGCTCTGTCAGTACAAAAGTTCAACACTGTTAGTTGATTAGATGCATCATAAACAAGTTCCTGAGATAGCTTCTATATCGTTTTTATGGGAAGATATTTCCTTTTTCACCATAGGCCTGAAAGCGCTCCAAATGTCCACTTCCAGATACTACAATAAGAGTGTTTCCAACCTGCTCTATGAAACGGAAGGTTCAACTCTGTGACTTGATTGCAAACATCACGAAGGTATTTCTGAGAATGCTTCTGTCTAGATTTTCTTTGAAGACATCCCCGTTTCCAACGAAATCCTCACAGCTATCCAAATATCCTCTTGCAGATTCTACAAAAAGTGTGGTTCAAAACTGCTGTATCAAAAGAATGGATCAACACTGTTAGTTGAGTACCCACATCACAAACGAGATTCTCAGAATGCTTCTGTCTAGTTTCTGTAGGTAGATATTTCCTATTTTAAGCATAGGCCTGAAAGCGCTCCAAATGCCCGCTTCCAGACACTATAAAAAGAGGGTTTCAAACCTACTCTATGAAAGGGAATGTTCAACTCTGAGAGCTGGATGCAAACATCACAAAGAAGTTTCTGAGAATGCTGCTGTCTACTTTTTATATATAATCCCGTTTCCAACGAAATCCTCAAATCTCTCCAAATATCCACTTGCAGATTCCAAAAGAAGAGTGTCTCAAAACTGCTCTATCAATAGAAATGTTCAGCACAGTTAGTTGAGTAGATACAGCATAAACATGTTTCTGAGATTACTTCTATCTCGCATTCATGGGAAGATATTTCCTTTTTCCACATAGGCTACAAAGCCCTCCAAATGTCCACTTCCAGATACTACAAAAAGAGTGTTTCCAACCTGCTCTATGAAACGGAAGGTTCAACTCTGTGACTTGATTGCAAACATCACGAAGGTGTTTCTGAGAATGCTTCTGTCTAGATTTTCTTTGAAGACATTACCGTTTCCAACGAAATCCTCAAAGCTAGCCAAATATCCACCTGCAGATTCTACAAAAAGAGTGTTTCAAAAGTGCTCTGTCCAAACCAAGGTTCAATTCTGACAGTTGAGTGCACACATCACAAACGTGATTCTGCGAATGCTTCTGTCTAGTTTTTGTCGGAAGATATTTCCTTTTTCAGCATAGGCCCCAAGGAGCTCAAAATGTCCACTTCCAGATAGTACGAGAAGATTGTTTCAAACCTGCTCTGTGAAAGGGAATGTTCAACTCTGTGACTTGAATGTAAACATCCCTAAGATGTTTCTTAGAATGCTTCTGGCTAGATTTGATTTGAAGATATTCCCGTTTCCAACGAAATCCTCAAAGCTTTCCAAATATCCACTTCCAGATTCTATAAAAAGAATGTTTCAGAACAGTTCTGTCAAAAGAAAGGTTCAACTCTGTTAGTGGAGAACACACATCACAATCAAGGTTCTGAGAATGCTTCTGTCTAGATTTTCTTTGAAGACTTTCCCGTTTCCAACGAAATCCTCACAGCTATCCAAATATCCTCTTGCAGATTCTACAAAAAGTGTGGTTCAAAACTGCTGTATCAAAAGAATGGATCAACACTGTTAGTTGAGTACCCACATCACAAACGTGATTCTCAGAATGCTTCTGTCTAGTTTCTGTAGGTAGATATTTCCTATTTTAAGCATAGGCCTGAAAGCGCTCCAAATGCCCGCTTCCAGACACTATAAAAAGAGGGTTTCAAACCTACTCTATGAAAGGGAATGTTCAACTCTGAGAGCTGGATGCAAACATCACAAAGAAGTTTCTGAGAATGCTGCTGTCTACTTTTTATATATAATCCCGTTTCCAACGAAATCCTCAAATCTATCCAAATATCCACTTGCAGATTCCAAAAGAAGAGTGTCTCAAAACTGCTCTATCAATAGAAATGTTCAGCACAGTTAGTTGAGTAGATACAGCATAAACATGTTTCTGAGATTACTTCTATCTCGCATTCATGGGAAGATATTTCCTTTTTCCAGATAGGCTACAAAGCCCTCCAAATGTCCACTTCCAGATACTACAAAAAGTGTGTTTCCAACCTGCTCTATGAAACGGAAGGTTCAACTCTGTGACTTGATTGCAAACATCACGAAGTTGTTTCTGAGAATGCTTCTGTCTAGATTTTCTTTGAAGACATTACCGTTTCCAACGAAATCCTCAAAGCTAGCCAAATATCCACCTGCAGATTCTACAAAAAGAGTGTTTCAAAAGTGCTCTGTCCAAACCAAGGTTCAATTCTGACAGTTGAGTGCACACATCACAAACGTGATTCTGCGAATGCTTCTGTCTAGTTTTTGTCGGAAGATATTTCCTTTTTCAGCATAGGCCCCAAGGAGCTCAAAATGTCCACTGCCAGATAGTACGAGAAGATTGTTTCAAACCTGCTCTGTGAAAGGGAATGTTCAACTCTGTGACTTGAATGTAAACATCCCTAAGATGTTTCTTAGAATGCTTCTGGCTAGATTTGATTTGAAGATATTCCCGTTTCCAACGAAATCCTCAAAGCTTTCCAAATATCCACTTCCAGATTCTATAAAAAGAATGTTTCAGAACAGTTCTGTCAAAAGAAAGGTTCAACTCTGTTAGTGGAGAACACACATCACAATCAAGGTTCTGAGAATGCTTCTGTCTAAATTTTCTATGAAGACATTCCCGTTTCCAACGAAATCCTCACAGCTATCCAAATATCCACTTGCAGATTCTACAAAAAGTGTGGTTCAAAACTGCTGTATCAAAAGAATGGATCAACACTGTTAGTTGAGTACCCACATCACAAACGTGATTCTCAGAATGCTTCTGTCTAGTTTCTATATGTAGATATTTCCTTTTTCAGCATAGGCCTGAAAGCGCTCCAAATGCCCGCTTCCAGACACTATAAAAAGAGGGTTTCAAACCTACTCTATGAAAGGGAATGTTCAACTCTGAGAGCTGGATGCAAACATCACAAAGAAGTTTCTGAGAATGCTGCTGTCTACTTTTTATATATAATCCCGTTTCCAACGAAATCCTCAAATCTATCCAAATATCCACTTGCAGATTCCAAAAGAAGAGGGTCTCAAAACTGCTCTATCAATAGAAATGTTCAGCACAGTTAGTTGAGTAGATACAGCATAAACATGTTTCTGAGATTACTTCTATCTCGCATTCATGGGAAGATATTTCCTTTTTCCAGATAGGCTACAAAGCCCTCCAAATGTCCACTTCCAGATACTACAAATAGAGTGCTGCACAACTGCTCTATGTGAGGGGAAGTTCAATTCTGTGACTTGAATGCAGACACCACAAAGAAGTTTCTGAGAATGCTGCTGTCTAATTTTTATATGTAAGCCCGTTTCCAACGAAATCCTCAAAGCTATCCAAATATCCGCATGCAGAATCTTCAAAAAGAGTGTTCCAGAAGTACTGCATGAAACGAAAGGTTCGAGTCCGTTAGTTGAGGACACGCATCACAAATAAGTTTCTCAGAATGCTTCTGTCTTGTTTTCATTGGAAGATATTTCCTTTTTCACCATAGTTCAGAAAGCGCTCCAAATGTCCACTTCCAGATACTCCAAAAAGAGTGTTTCAAACCTGCTCTATGAATGGGAATGTTCCACTCTGTGACTTGAATGGAAATATGGCAAAGTATTTTCTGAGTATGCTGCTGTGTACGTTTTATATTGCATCCCGTTTCCAACGAAATCCTCAAAGCGATCCAAATATCCACTTGCAGATTCCAAAAAAAGAGTGTTTCAAACTGCTCTGTCAGTACAAAGGTTCAACACTCTTAGTTGATTAGATGCATCATAAACAAGTTCCTGAGATAGCTTCTATGTCGTTTTTATGGGAAGATATTTCCTTTTTCACCATAGGCCTGAAAGCGCTCCAAATGTCCACTTCCAGATACTACAAAAAGAGTGTTTCCAACCTGCTCTATGAAACGGAAGGTTCAACTCTGTGACTTGATTGCAAACATCACGAAGGTGTTTCTGAGAATGCTTCTGTCTAGATTTTCTTTGAAGACATTACCGTTTCCAATGAAATCCTCAGAGCTAGCCAAATATCCACCTGCAGATTCTACAAAAAGAGTGTTTCAAAAGTGCTCTGTCCAAACCAAGGTTCAATTCTGACAGTTGAGTGCACACATCACAAACGTGATTCTGCGAATGCTTCTGTCTAGTTTTTGTCGGAAGATATTTCCTTTTTCAGCATAGGCCCCAAGGAGCTCAAAATGTCCACTGCCAGATAGTACGAGAAGATTGTTTCAAACCTGCTCTGTGAAAGGGAATGTTCAACTCTGTGACTTGAATGTAAACATCCCTAAGATGTTTCTTAGAATGCTTCTGGCTAGATTTGATTTGAAGATATTCCCGTTTCCAACGAAATCCTCAAAGCTTTCCAAATATCCACTTCCAGATTCTATAAAAAGAATGTTTCAGAACAGTTCTGTCAAAAGAAAGGTTCAACTGCTGTTAGTGGAGAACACACATCACAATCAAGGTTCTGAGAATGCTTCTGTCTAAATTTTCTATGAAGACATTCCCGTTTCCAACGAAATCCTCACAGCTATCCAAATATCCACTTGCAGATTCTACAAAAAGTGTGGTTCAAAACTGCTGTATCAAAAGAATGGATCAACACTGTTAGTTGAGTACCCACATCACAAACGTGATTCTCAGAATGCTTCTGTCTAGTTTCTATATGTAGATATTTCCTTTTTCAGCATAGGCCTGAAAGCGCTCCAAATGCCCGCTTCCAGACACTATAAAAAGAGGGTTTCAAACCTACTCTATGAAAGGGAATGTTCAACTCTGAGAGCTGGATGCAAACATCACAAAGAAGTTTCTGAGAATGCTGCTGTCTACTTTTTATATATCATCCCGTTTCCAACGAAATCCTCAAATCTATCCAAATATCCACTTGCAGATTCCAAAAGAAGAGTGTCTCAAAACTGCTCTATCAATAGAAATGTTCAGCACAGTTAGTTGAGTAGATACAGCATAAACATGTTTCTGAGATTACTTCTATCTCGCATTCATGGGAAGATATTTCCTTTTTCCAGATAGGCTACAAAGCCCTCCAAATGTCCACTTCCAGATACTACAAATAGAGTGCTGCACAACTGCTCTATGTGAGGGGAAGTTCAATTCTGTGACTTGAATGCAGACACCACAAAGAAGTTTCTGAGAATGCTGCTGTCTAATTTTTACATGTAAGCCCGTTTCCAACGAAATCCTCAAAGCTATCCAAATATCCGCATGCAGAATCTTCAAAAAGAGTGTTCCAGAAGTACTGCATGAAACGAAAGGTTCAAGTCCGTTTGTTGAGGACACACATCACAAATAAGTTTCTCAGAATGCTTCTGTCTTGTTTTCATTAGAAGATATTTCCTTTTTCACCATAGTTCAGAAAGCGCTCCAAATGTCCACTTCCAGATACTCCAAAAAGAGTGTTTCCAACCTGCTCTATGAATGGGAATGTTCCACTCTGTGACTTGAATGGAAATATGGCAAAGTATTTTCTGAGTATGCTGCTGTGTACGTTTTATATTGCATCCCGTTTCCAACGAAATCCTCAAAGCGATCCAAATATCCACTTTCAGATTCCAAAAAAAGAGTGTTTCAAACTGCTCTGTCAGTACAAAGGTTCAACACTGTTAGTTGATTAGATGCATCATAAACAAGTTCCTGAGATAGCTTCTATGTTGTTTTTATGGGAAGATATTTCCTTTTTCACCAGAGGCCTGAAAGCGCTCCAATTGTCCACTTCCAGAAACTACAAAAAGAGTGTTTCCAACCTGCTCTATGAAACGGAAGGTTCAACTCTGTGACTTGATTGCAAACATCACGAAGGTGTTTCTGAGAATGTTTCTGTCTAGATTTTCTTTGAAGACATTACCGTTTCCAACGAAATCCTCAAAGCTAGCCAAATATCCACCTGCAGATTCTACAAAAAGAGTGTTTCAAAAGTGCTCTGTCCAAACCAAGGTTCAATTCTGACAGTTGAGTGCACACATCACAAACGTGATTCTGCGAATGCTTCTGTCTAGTTTTTGTCGGAAGATATTTCCTTTTTCAGCATAGGCCCCAAGGAGCTCAAAATGTCCACTTCCAGATAGTACGAGAAGATTGTTTCAAACCTGCTCTGCGAAAGGGAATGTTCGACTCTGTGACTTGAATGTAAACATCCCTAAGATGTTTATTAGAATGCTTCTGGCTAGATTTTATTTGAAGATATTCCCGTTTCCAACGAAATCCTCAAAGCTTTCCAAATATCCACTTCCAGATTCTATAAAAAGAATGTTTCAGAACAGTTCTGTCAAAAGAAAGGTTCAACTCTGTTAGTGGAGAACACACATCACAATCAAGGTTCTGAGAATGCTTCTGTCTACATTTTCTATGAAGACATTCCCGTTTCCACCGAAATCCTCACAGCTATCCAAATATCCACTTGCAGATTCTACAAAAAGTGT
This sequence comes from Homo sapiens, assembly GCF_000001405.40. Taxonomy (NCBI): domain Eukaryota; kingdom Metazoa; phylum Chordata; class Mammalia; order Primates; family Hominidae; genus Homo; species Homo sapiens. The sequence continues at coordinate 45,204,266 of NC_000008.11, read as the reverse complement.
GGTTCAAAACTGCTGTATCAAAAGAATGGATCAACACTGTTAGTTGAGTACCCACATCACAAACGTGATTCTCAGAATGCTTCTGTCTAGTTTCTATAGGTAGATATTTCCTTTTTCAGCATAGGCCTGAAAGCGCTCCAAATGCCCGCTTCCAGACACTATAAAAAGAGGGTTTCAAACCTACTCTATGAAAGGGAATGTTCAACTCTGAGAGCTGGATGCAAACATCACAAAGAAGTTTCTGAGAATGCTGCTGTCTACTTTTTATATATAATCCCGTTTCCAACGAAATCCTCAAATCTATCCAAATATCCACTTGCAGATTCCAAAAGAAGAGTGTCTCAAAACTGCTCTATCAATAGAAATGTTCAGCACAGTTAGTTGAGTAGATACAGCATGAACATGTTTCTGAGATTACTTCTATCTCGCATTCATGGGAAGATATTTCCTTTTTCCAGATAGGCTACAAAGCCCTCCAAATGTCCACTTCGAGATACTACAAATAGAGTGCTGCACAGCTGCTCTATGTGAGGGGATGTTCAATTCTGTGACTTGAATGCAGACACCACAAAGAAGTTTCTGAGAATGCTGCTGTCTAATTTTTATATGTAAGCCCGTTTCCAACGAAATCTTCAAAGCTATCCAAATATCCGCATGCAGAATCTTCAAAAAGAGTGTTCCAGAAATACTGCATGAAACGAAAGGTTCAAGTCCGTTAGTTGAGGACACACATCACAAATAAGTTTCTCAGAATGCTTCTGTCTTGTTTTCATTGGAAGATATTTCCTTTTTCACCATAGTTCAGAAAGCGCTCCAAATGTCCACTTCCAGATACTCCAAAAAGAGTGTTTCCAACCTGCTCTATGAATGGGAATGTTCCACTCTGTGACTTGAATGGAAATATGGCAAAGTATTTTCTGAGTATGCTGCTGTGTACGATTTATATTGCATCCCGTTTCCAACGAAATCCTCAAAGCGATCCAAATATCCACTTGCAGATTCCAAAAAAAAGAGTGTTTCACACTGCTCTGTCAGTACAAAAGTTCAACACTGTTAGTTGATTGGATGCATCATAAACAAGTTCCTGAGATAGCTTCTATGTCGTTTTTATGGGAAGATATTTCCTTCTTCACCATAGGACTGAAAGCGCTCCAAATGTCCACTTCCAGATATTACAAAAAGAGTGTTTCCAATCTGCTCTATGAAACGGAAGGTTCAACTCTGTGACTTGATTGCAAACATCACGAAGGTGTTTCTGAGAATGTTTCTGTCTAGATTTTCTTTGAAGACATTACCGTTTCCAACGAAATCCTCAGAGCTAGCCAAATATCCACCTGCAGATTCTACAAAAAGAGTGTTTCAAAAGTGCTCTGTCCAAACCAAGGTTCAATTCTGACAGTTGAGTGCACACATCACAAACGTGATTCTGCGAATGCTTCTGTCTAGTTTTTGTCGGAAGATATTTCCTTTTTCACCATAGGCCCAAAGGAGCTCAAAATGTCCACTGCCAGATAGTACGAGAAGATTGTTTCAAACCTGCTCTGTGAAAGGGAATGTTCAACTCTGTGACTTGAATGTAAACATCCCTAAGATGTTTCTTAGAATGCTTCTGGCTAGATTTTATTTGAAGATATTCCCGTTTCCAACGAAATCCTCAAAGCTTTCCAAATATCCACTTCCAGATTCTATAAAAAGAATGTTTCAGAACAGTTCTGTCAAAAGAAAGGTTCAACTCTGTTAGTGGAGAACACACATCACAATCAAGGTTCTGAGAATGCTTCTGTCTAAATTTTCTATGAAGACATTCCCGTTTCCAACGAAATCCTCACAGCTATCCAAATATCCACTTGCAGATTCTACAAAAAGTGTGGTTCAAAACTGCTGTATCAAAAGAATGGATCAACACTGTTAGTTGAGTACCCACATCACAAACGTGATTCTCAGAATGCTTCTGTCTAGTTTCTGTAGGTAGATATTTCCTTTTTCAGCATAGGCCTGAAAGCGCTCCAAATGCCCGCTTCCGGACACTATAAAAAGAGGGTTTCAAACCTACTCTATGAAAGGGAATGTTCAACTCTGAGAGCTGGATGCAAACATCACAAAGAAGTTTCTGAGAATGCTGCTGTCTACTTTTTATATATAATCCCGTTTCCAACGAAATCCTCAAATCTATCCAAATATCCACTTGCAGATTCCAAAAGAAGAGTGTCTGAAAACTGCTCTATCAATAGAAATGTTCAGCACAGTTAGTTGAGTAGATACAGCATAAACATGTTTCTGAGATTACTTCTATCTCGCATTCATGGGAAGATATTTCCTTTTTCCAGATAGGCTACAAAGCCCTCCAAATGTCCACTTCCAGATACTACAAAAAGAGTGTTTCCAACCTGCTCTATGAAACGGAAGGTTCAACTCTGTGACTTGATTGCAAACATCACGAAGGTGTTTCTGAGAATGCTTCTGTCTAGATTTTCTTTGAAGACATTACCGTTTCCAACGAAATCCTCAAAGCTAGCCAAATATCCACCTGCAGATTCTACAAAAAGAGTGTTTCAAAAGTGCTCTCTCCAAACCAAGGTTCAATTCTGACAGTTGAGTGCACACATCACAAACTTGATTCTGCGAATGCTTCTGTCTAGTTTTTGTCGGAAGATATTTCCTTTTTCAGCATAGGCCCCAAAGAGCTCAAAATGTCCACTGCCAGATAGTACGAGAAGATTGTTTCAAACCTGCTCTGTGAAAGGGAATGTTCAACTCTGTGACTTGAATGTAAACATCCCTAAGATGTTTCTTAGAATGCTTCTGGCTAGATTTGATTTGAAGATATTCCCGTTTCCAACGAAATCCTCAAAGGTTTCCAAATATCCACTTCCAGATTCTATAAAAAGAATGTTTCAGAACAGTTCTGTCAAAAGAAAGGTTCAACTCTGTTAGTGGAGAACACACATCACAATCAAGGTTCTGAGAATGCTTCTGTCTAAATTTTCTATGAAGACATTCCCGTTTCCAACGAAATCCTCACAGCTATCCAAATATCCACTTGCAGATTCTACAAAAAGTGTGGTTCAAAACTGCTGTATCAAAAGAATGGATCAACACTGTTAGTTGAGTACCCACATCACAAACGTGATTCTCAGAATGCTTCTGTCTAGTTTCTATAGGTAGATATTTCCTTTTTCAGCATAGGCCTGAAAGCGCTCCAAATGCCCGCTTCCAGACACTATAAAAAGAGGGTTTCAAACCTACTCTATGAAAGGGAATGTTCAACTCTGAGAGCTGGATGCAAACATCACAAAGAAGTTTCTGAGAATGCTGCTGTCTACTTTTTATATATAATCCCGTTTCCAACGAAATCCTCAAATCTATCCAAATATCCACTTGCAGATTCCAAAAGAAGAGTGTCTCAAAACTGCTCTATCAATAGAAATGTTCAGCACAGTTAGTTGAGTAGATACAGCATAAACATGTTTCTGAGATTACTTCTATCTCGCATTCATGGGAAGATATTTCCTTTTTCCACATAGGCTACAAAGCCCTCCAAATGTCCACTTCCAGATACTACAAATAGAGTGCTGCACAACTGCTCTATGTGAGGGGATGTTCAATTCTGTGACTTGAATGCAGACACCACAAAGAAGTTTCTGAGAATGCTGCTGTCTAATTTTTACATGTAAGCCCGTTTCCAACGAAATCCTCAAAGCTATCCAAATATCCGCATGCAGAATCTTCAAAAAGAGTGTTCCAGAAATACTGCATGAAACAAAAGGTTCAAGTCCGTTTGTTGAGGACACACATCACAAATAAGTTTCTCAGAATGCTTCTGTCTTGTTTTCATTGGAAGATATTTCCTTTTTCACCATAGTTCAGAAAGCGCTCCAAATGTCCACTTCCAGATACTCCAAAAAGAGTGTTTCCAACCTGCTCTATGAATGGGAATGTTCCACTCTGTGACTTGAATGGAAATATGGCAAAGTATTTTCTGAGTATGCTGCTGTGTACGTTTTATATTGCATCCCGTTTCCAATGAAATCCTCAAAGCGATCCAAATATCCACTTGCAGATTCCAAAAAAAGAGTGTTTCAAACTGCTCTGTCAGTACAAAGGTTCAACACTGTTAGTTGATTAGATGCATCATAAACAAGTTCCTGAGATAGCTTCTATGTCGTTTTTATGGGAAGATATTTCCTTTTTCACCATAGGCCTGAAAGCGCTCCAAATGTCCACTTCCAGATACTACAAAAAGAGTGTTTCCAACCTGCTCTATGAAACGGAAGGTTCAACTCTGTGACTTGATTGCAAACATCACGAAGGTGTTTCTGAGAATGCTTCTGTCTAGATTTTCTTTGAAGACATTACCGTTTCCAACGAAATCCTCAAAGCTAGCCAAATATCCACCTGCAGATTCTACAAAAAGAGTGTTTCAAAAGTGCTCTGTCCAAACCAAGGTTCAATTCTGACAGTTGAGTGCACACATCACAAACGTGATTCTGCGAATGCTTCTGTCTAGTTTTTGTCGGAAGATATTTCCTTTTTCAGCATAGGCCCCAAGGAGCTCAAAATGTCCACTGCCAGATAGTACGAGAAGATTGTTTCAAACCTGCTCTGTGAAAGGGAATGTTCAACTCTGTGACTTGAATGTAAACATCCCTAAGATGTTTCTTAGAATGCTTCTGGCTAGATTTTATTTGAAGATATTCCCGTTTCCAACGAAATCCTCAAAGCTTTCCAAATATCCACTTCCAGATTCTATAAAAAGAATGTTTCAGAACAGTTCTGTCAAAAGAAAGGTTCAACTCTGTTAGTGGAGAACACACATCACAATCAAGGTTCTGAGAATGCTTCTGTCTAAATTTTCTATGAAGACATTCCCGTTTCCAACGAAATCCTCACAGCTATCCAAATATCCACTTGCAGATTCTACAAAAAGTGTGGTTCAAAACTGCTGTATCAAAAGAATGGATCAACACTGTTAGTTGAGTACCCACATCACAAACGTGATTCTCAGAATGCTTCTGTCTAGTTTCTATAGGTAGATATTTCCTTTTTCAGCATAGGCCTGAAAGCGCTCCAAATGCCCGCTTCCAGACACTATAAAAAGAGGGTTTCAAACCTACTCTATGAAAGGGAATGTTCAACTCTGAGAGCTGGATGCAAACATCACAAAGAAGTTTCTGAGAATGCTGCTGTCTACTTTTGATATATAATCCCGTTTCCAACGAAATCCTCAAATCTATCCAAATATCCACTTGCAGATTCCAAAAGAAGAGTGTCTCAAAACTGCTCTATCAATAGAAATGTTCAGCACAGTTAGTTGAGTAGATACAGCATAAACATGTTTCTGAGATTACTTCTATCTCGCATTCATGGGAAGATATTTCCTTTTTCCAGATAGGCTACAAAGCCCTCCAAATGTCCACTTCCAGATACTACAAATAGAGTGCTGCACAACTGCTCTATGTGAGGGGATGTTCAATTCTGTGACTTGAATGCAGACACCACAAAGAAGTTTCTGAGAATGCTGCTGTCTAATTTTTACATGTAAGCCCGTTTCCAACGAAATCCTCAAAGCTATCCAAATATCCACATGCAGAATCTTCAAAAAGAGTGTTCCAGAAGTACTGCATGAAACGAAAGGTTCAAGTCCGTTTGTTGAGGACACACATCACAAATAAGTTTCTCAGAATGCTTCTGTCTTGTTTTCATTGGAAGATATTTCCTTTTTCACCATAGTTCAGAAAGCGCTCCAAATGTCCACTTCCAGATACTCCAAAAAGAGTGTTTCAAACCTGCTCTATGAATGGGAATGTTCCACTCTGTGACTTGAATGGAAATATGGCAAAGTATTTTCTGAGTATGCTGCTGTGTACGTTTTATATTGCATCCCGTTTCCAACGAAATCCTCAAAGCGATCCAAATATCCACTTGCAGATTCCAAAAAAAGAGTGTTTCAAACTGCTCTGTCAGTACAAAGGTTCAACAGTGTTAGTTGATTAGATGCATCATAAACAAGTTCCTGAGATAGCTTCTATGTCGTTTTTATGGGAAGATATTTCCTTTTTCACCATAGGCCTGAAAGCGCTCCAAATGTCCACTTCCAGATACTACAAAAAGAGTGTTTCCAACCTGCTCTATGAAACGGAAGGTTCAACTCTGTGACTTGATTGCAAACATCACGAAGGTGTTTCTGAGAATGCTTCTGTCTAGATTTTCTTTGAAGACATTCCCGTTTCCAACGAAATCCTCACAGCTATCCAAATATCCTCTTGCAGATTCTACAAAAAGTGTGGTTCAAAACTGCTGTATCAAAAGAATGGATCAACACTGTTAGTTGAGTACCCACATCACAAACGTGATTCTCAGAAGGCTTCTGTCTAGTTTCTGTAGGTAGATATTTCCTATTTTAAGCATAGGCCTGAAAGCGCTCCAAATGCCCGCTTCCAGACACTATAAAAAGAGGGTTTCAAACCTACTCTATGAAAGGGAATGTTCAACTCTGAGAGCTGGATGCAAACATCACAAAGAAGTTTCTGAGAATGCTGCTGTCTACTTTTTATATATAATCCCGTTTCCAACGAAATCCTCAAATCTATCCAAATATCCACTTGCAGATTCCAAAAGAAGAGTGTCTCAAAACTGCTCTATCAATAGAAATGTTCAGCACAGTTAGTTGAGTAGATACAGCATAAACATGTTTCTGAGATTACTTCTATCTCGCATTCATGGGAAGATATTTCCTTTTCCAGATAGGCTACAAAGCCCTCCAAATGTCCACTTCCAGATACTACAAATAGAGTGCTGCACAACTGCTCTTTGTGAGGGGAAGTTCAATTCTGTGACTTGAATGCAGACACCACAAAAAAGTTTCTGAGAATGCTCTGCTGTCTAATTTTTACATATAAGCCCGTTTCCAACGAAATCCTCAAAGCTATCCAAATATCCGCATGCAGAATCTTCAAAAAAGAGTGTTGCAGAAGTAATTGCATGATACCGTCTCGGTTTCAAGTTAAAAAGGCCGAGCACGGTGGCTCACGCCTGTAATCCCAGCATTTTGGGAGGCCAAGGCAGGTGGATCACCTGAGGTCGGGAGTTCGAGACCAGCCTGACCAACATGGAGAAACCCCATCTTTACTAAATATACAAAATTAGCCGGGCATGGTGGTGCATGCATGTAATTCCAGCTACTCAGGAGGCTAAGGCAGGAGAATCACTTGAACCCGGGAGGTGGAGGTTTTGGTGAGCCGATATCACGCCATTGCATTCCAGCCTGGGCAAGAGCGAAACTCCGTCTCAAAAAAAAAAAAAAAAAAAGAAAAGGAAGAAAAAAAGAGGACAATTCTGGTATGAGGACCCCACGCCCTTGTTTTAAACTTTCCTGTAAAAACCTTTGTCCTTGGGACAGACTCGGGAACATGCCCAACTCTGCTGGTGTGTCTTCCTGGGTCAATTCTCACATTTGCCTTCCAATAAGCCTTTATCAAATTATTTCTGTCTCATCAGCCTTAAGTTTA